>NC_000021.9:9246087-9377143 GCF_000001405.40 Homo sapiens | reverse complement strand
GATCTTTCTGCCACAGCTTTTTAAAGTGCTAGGATTACAGGCATGAGCCACCATGCCTAATATAGAGTGTAATATCACTTTCAAAGTCTTATTCCTAGACCCATTTATTGACTTTGGCCTAAATAACTCAATATGATATCTCTGAAACTTTTTTTGACATACTGTGGGGAATGATAATGAAGGAAGGGGGTTAGACACTTTTTACTAGGAGATAACTTTGTGCCATTTAAGGAGGAACAAAAATGAATTATCAGAAAAATAAAAGTAAAATGAAGTACAAAAATTCTGTGGCAAAGATGATGATAGTAAAGAATATATTTTTATGACTCATGGTAGCTTTAACTTTGTTCTTAAAATTCTGAATAATTTAAGGGTTCACATTTGAAGAATCTGCTGCATTACAGATAACATTTTATTGCAAGTAAATGCATTTCAAAATTTGCTATTGGTTTTGTATTAGATTATTCTCAGCCTACTTCATTATCAAGCTATACTATTTTATTCATGCAGTTTGATGATCTTATGGCGGAGAAGGAAGCTGTATCTTCAAAATGTGTCAATTTGGCTAAAGAGAATCAAGTTTTTCAACAGGAGTTATTATCTATGAAAAAAGTACAACAGGAATGTGAAAAACTTGAGGAGGATAAAAAGATGTTGGAAGAAGAAATATTAAATCTTAAGACACATATGGAAAACAGTATGGTAGAACTTAGTAAACTACAAGAATATAAATCAGAGCTAGATGAAAGGGCAATGCAGGCAGTAGAAAAATTAGAAGAAATCCATTTACAGGTGAGTTGTTTAAATCAGGTAAGTTTACTTGTAATGTGCTTTCATTTATTTCACTGCAAATTATATTTTGGAGATTATATATATATATATATATATATATATAGAGAGAGAGAGAGAGAGAGAGAGAGAGAGATTGCCTCTCTTGTAGCAATCTGCTTTGTAGAGTTCTAGAAAAAAATGGTATCTGTTTTTTCTTTTAAATATTTAAATTTCCATTATTATTATAACAAAATCAATCTTTCAGAGTAATGATTCTCATTATGGAGTAATTTGATGATTAAGACCAGTTGGCATAGGAAAAAATTGTGATTTAGAAATTATGTGATAATTATGAATTGGTCTTAAGCTACAGTGTTCATTGATCACTTTTTAAGACTATGAATGGATTCTATTACTTTTTATATGACCAGATTACATTAATACTAGCATAATTATGATTTCAAATTTTTACAAATCAGACTTAATTCTGAATTCAGTTATTAGTTTTGATATTGCTGAAATATTTTAAACTTCATCCTCTTTTTTAACATATTCAAAAATACTCTTTGAATCGCTGACTCAAAATGAAAGGCAACAAACATAATAATTAGGTTATAATTGTTTTAAAAGTGTATTCTTTTCCTCTGTTTTAGGAACAAGCACAATATAAAAAACAATTAGAGCAGTTAAACAAGGATATAATACAGCTTCACTAAATAAGAAGGAACTCACACTTAAAGATGTGGAATGTAAATTCTACAAAATGAAAACTGCTTATGAAGAGGTTACAACTGAGTTAGAAGAATATAAGGAAGCCTTTGCAGCAGCATTGAAAGCTAACAGTTCCATGTCTAAAAAATTAACTAAGTAAGTCAAAACATACACTCATAGAAAATGAATTAAGCTCATTAATTTGTTTCAAAAGCATAATTTTTAGTGAGATGGCTTCAGATTAGAAGGAAGTGAATGCTAATTTGACAATGTAATTTTGAAAAATAATGTTAGTAAATAATTTTACCTTTAAAATGTTAGTCAAAGATAGTTTTTGTCTCTCCTCTCATTTTTTTTTTTTTTTGCTTTTGTATGGCTTTTTTTCCTGAAAAGTCTCATGTAATTAACCTGATCTGTTAGTTTTTTTCACTAAGTATTTTTGAAGCTTTATAATCAATGAAGTGACCTTGTTATAAAATTACTTGTCAGAATTTCCCTAAATAGAAATATTAATGTGTTTAATTTACTTTTCAGTGGATCACAACCTAAATGCAAAGTGGTACTTCTACTCTGGGCACAATTGTTTTTGATTGTGATCTTTAGTATTATCACCAGAGGGTGCCTCAAGAAAGACTATTTGTGTAACATATTCAAGATGTTACAGAAAGGCACCCTTGTGAAATAGGGAATAATTATCACAGGAATTTAAAGAAGTGTAATTCACAAAGCGGTTAAAAAATAACACCTTGTTCAGCCTGAAGCGGTGTGTGGAAGGCAGAAAGAACATGCCCCACCTCCAGGGCCTTGGTCACAGTGTTGGGGACTAATTGCCTTCAGAGATGCTTTAATTCTTTTTGATCACCAACCAGACAATCTAGTTCTCCCCTAGGAGTTGTTGCTCTGAATTATTCCTCAGTGCCAAATGTTTAATTGGTCCTAGATAATGGGTGAAATGTACAAGAGTGAAATCTAAAACTGGTTTACTAAACACAAGTGTTCCTAGATTTTTTTTCGTTCATTTTAGTTTTCTTAACCTACATTAAGGAGTACAACATGATGTTTTGATATAATTATTTCTAGTGAAGTGGTTCTTATAATCAAGCAAATCAACATATTCATTTTCCCACATTATTACCCTTTAAATACAAGTATTTCTAATGGAATCTTCAGAATCTTCCAAGTACAGCCATTTTAGAAGGCAGGAAGTTTTACCTGTTGAGCCATACATCACTGATAGCCATTTCTCTTCCCTGTCTACTTTGTTTGAACTGCTTGTTCAGTAGAAATCACCTTAGAAACAATGGTGCTTCTTTAGAATGATTTTAAAATTATAATTCCTTACAACAGGTATGCTCTTACACATCTTCTGTGTGAAAACACTATTTAGTGGGTAATTTGGTTTACTCTCAGGGTAAGTTTTTAAAAACTGCAAGTCATTAAGAATCATTTAAGGAAAAATGAAATATTAAGCATTTGTCTTTGCTACCTTTACAGATCGAATAAGAAAATAGCAATGATCAGTATCAGCTCTTTATGGAGAAAGAGCAGGTGAAATATTTTCTCAGCACTCTTCCTACAAGGCGAGGTCGAGAGTCACCTTGTGTTGAAAATCTTACTAGTATAGGACTCAACAGAAAATATATTCTCCAAATGCCCGTAAGAATTCCTACTTCAAACCTCAGACTTCAAATAACTGCCAGAACTACTTGACTGAGGTTAGTTATATGACCGTTTCTCTTTAGGGTTTCATTTCTCTAGCGTAATTCTTGTTTATAATTTGGTGAAATACTGAGTTGTTCTGTTGACTTTTGCATGTGAAGTAAAGATCACAATTAGCTGTGTTAACACAGAAAGGAAATGGGAACTTTACATTTTTTAATTCCCTGGAGCTCTCATTTTCAAGAGATATCCATTTGCTAACTTTATTCAATAAATGTGACTAAACTGACATGTTTGAAATGTCTTTAAAAGCTGCATTTAAGTTAGGTTTTAGAAATTGCATGTTATTGCCTGATAAGTGATGATATACTTTGAGATGGTCTGGCTTACTTTCTAATTGATTATAGTTTAGCTGTGGTTCATACCACATTTTTTTTTTCTTTTTTTTGAGGCAGTGTCTCACTCTGTCACCCAGGCTGGAGTGTCTTGGTGTCATCTCCACTCACTGCAACCTCCACCTCCCGGGTTCAAGTGATTCTCCTGCCTCAGCCTCCTGAGTAGCTGAGACTACAAGCACCCACCATTACACCCAGCTAATGTTTGCATTTTTAGTAGAGACAGGGTTTCACCATATTGACCAGGCTCTTCTTGAACTCCTGACCTTGTGATCTGCCTGCCTGAGCCTCTCAAAGTGCTGGGATTACAGGCATGAGCCACCGCACCCGGCCCATGCCACTTTTAAAGTTTCTTTGCACCAGCCAGGTGTGGTGGCTCATGCCTGTAATCCCAGCACTTTGGGAGGCTGAGGCAGGTGTATCACGAGGTCAGGAGTTCAAGACCAGCCTGGCCAAGATGGTGAAACCCCAACTCTACTAAAAGTACAAAAAAAATATTAGCCTGGTGTGGTGGTGGGCACCTGTAATCCCAGCTACTAGGAAGGCTGAGGCAGAGAATTGCTTGAACCTGGGAGACGGAGGTTGCAGGAGCTGAGATTGCACCACTGCACTCCAGCCTGGGTGACAGGGCAAGACTCCATCTTGAAAATAAAAAAAAAAATTAAAAAAGTTTATTTGCACCATCTCAATTCTTCCCACCCATAATCACGACTGAATGATTAGCATCCACTTTGCCACATATGGATGTTTATTATTTAGTAGAATCCAAAATAATTGCATTTTATGAATTAAACAAAACACTAAAATGTTCATTTCCCTTTTTATTTTAAAAGCTTTGTGCTTGGCCAGGCATGGTGGCTCACACTTGTAATCCCAAAATTTGGGGAGGCCGAGGCAGGTGAATCACCTGACGTCAGGAGTTTGAGACCAGCCTGGCCAACATGATGAAACCTGTCTCTAGTAAAAATACAAAAATTAGCAAGGCGTGTTGGCAGGCATGTGTAATCTCAGATACTCAGGAGGCTGAGGCAGAAGAATCACTTGAACCCAGGAGACAGAGGTTGCAGTAAGCCAAGATCATACCACTGCACTATAGCCTTGGTGATGGAGACTCTGTCTCAAAACAAAACAAAAAAAAGGTTTGTGCTTTCTTTACATAAGAGTACATCTTCTGACTATAAAAATCCTGGAAAAAACCTAGGAAATACTCTTCTGGATATCATATTTGTCAATTAATTTATGGCTAAGTCCTCAAAAGCAATTGCAAGAATAACAAAAATTGACAAGTGTGATCTAATTTAGCTAAATAGCTTCTGCACAGCATGAGAAACTATCACGAGATTAAACAGAAAGCCTAAAAGAATGGAAGAAAATATTCACAAAGTATGGATATAGCAAACGCCTATTATCCAGAATCCATAAGAGACCTAAACAAATCAACAAGCAAAAAATAAATAAGACCATTATAAATGGGCAAAGGACATGAACAGACAGTTCTCAAAATAACACACGTAAGTGGCCAACAAACATTAAAAAATGCTTACCATTGCTAATCATCAGAAAAATGCCACACAAAACATCAATGAGATACCATTTCACACCAGTCACAATGACTTTTGTTAAAAACAAATAATAAATAAAAACTTAAAAAAGGATGTTGGGGAGGCTGTGGAGAAAAGGGAACACAAACCGTTTGTGGCAATGTAAATTAATTCAGCTACTATGGAGAGCAGTTTGGAAATTAAGAACTAAGAATGACTGTTGGATGCAGCAACCCCATTACTATACTAGGGGTATACCGAAAGGACAATAAATCATTGTAACAAAAAGATGTATACACATGTATGTTCATTGCAGCACTATTCACAATAGCAAAGACGTGGAGTCAATCCAGGTACATCCAAGGTAGATTGAAAATCCAAGGTAGATTGGAAAATTCCATATATACCATGGAATACTATGCAGCCATGAAAAGAACAAAATCACATCATTTGCAGCAACATGAATACAGCTGGAATCCACTCTCCTAAGCAAACCAACACAGAAACAGAAACCAAATATCTCATGTTTTCACTCATGTGGGAGCTACATATTGGGTGCACATTGTCATAAAGGTGGGAATAATAGACACTGGGAAATAAGAATGGGGAGGGACAGAGTGAGCCAGGGTTGAAAAACTACTTCTTGGGTCCTATGCTCACAACCTGTGTGATGGGTTTAATTGTACTGCAAACCTCGGTATCCCTCAATATGCCTTTGGAAGAAACTTACAGAGGTACCACGTTAATTTAGAATACAAACTAGAAAAAAAAAAGAAAAGTTTACTATAAGTAGAGAACAGAAATTTCTTTTTAAGATAAAATTTATTGAAGTAAAAAATGGATTAAACTTTTATAAAGGGCAAAGTTTTCTAAGAATTTCAAAGCAATGCATTCATTGCAAAAGATGGCTTTAATTACTTAATCTTTTTTTGTGTGTGTGTGTGTGAGACAGGGTCTCACTCTCTCACCAGGCTGGAGTGCAGTGGTGCAGTCTTGGCTCACTGCAACCTCCACCTCCTGGCTTCAAGCAATTCTCCTGCCTTAGTATCCCAAGTAGCTGGGACTACTGGTGCACATCACCACGCCCAGCTAATTTTTGTATTTTTAGTAGAGATGGGGTTTCCCCATGTTGGCCAGGATGGTCACGATCTCCTGACCTTGTGATCTGCTTGCTTTGGCCTCCCCAAGTGCTGGGGTTACAGGTATGAGCCACCATGCCTGGCCATTGTTTAACCTTTGTACTAATAAAACACTACCTTTCTAAAATCATGTATATGCAATAGATCAATATTAACTGCATTTTTGTCAGATTACTCTAAACAGCATTACACATATACATCCTCTGTTATCTAAACTTAAAATAAGTAGAAATTTTATTTTATTTATGTGATTATTTTTCTATTTAAGCAAACTTCAAGTTATGTCTAGTCACTAAAAATACTAAAGGCCACATTTTGTAAGTGATACATGATTTTCATGATAATGTTTCTTGTTTAATTTAGACATTATTATTATTTTTACTTATTTTAGATGGGGCTGGACTGTGTAGAATAAATAATTAGAGAAACAAAGAGAAGTACGTTGACAAAATTTATTAATTAAATTTAGGTTTATTTTAGAAATAAAGTGTAAATAGCAAATGGCATTCCTTTTCATTCTTGGGTTAGTAGATACTACATCAATATTTTTTTCTTACACACATCTAATGAAAGATGTGAAAACAAAAACTTTCACAGAGAAGACTGTACTTATGCACCATAAATTCATCATGTTCCTAAGCTTAAACAGTTCCCAAGAAGTCTGTGCATCTCTTTTTCACTGGCTCTACAGTTTCTTAAGTTTTGCCATCCTCATGGAACTGTCAGCCAGCACACTGAAACGATTCTCAGAAAACAAAAGCATCATCAAGTTCTCAGGGTTTCGGTAGAGATTGAAGGCCAACAGACTAAGACTCATTCAGAAATACTTAGCTGAGCAATAACCCTTCATAAGCAGTCACTTGACAGGTGACATTTTAAATCTCCTCTAATTTACTGTGTCATTGGCTTACACTTGTTCTCAGGAAAAGTTCCAAATTTTTCACCATGAAATAAAAACACCCATGTCAATGTAATTCTTGCCAAGTTACTCAGCCTTGTTTCTCACCACTTACTGCACTCTGCCCTTTGCTCTAGCACCAAACTGGATGGAGTGGAACTCTGCAGGGCTCTTCCTCACCTCAGGCTCTTTGCCTTTGCCTCTTTCCTCTATCTGGGAAGCTTTTCCTTGTCCTTCAGGTATCAACCTATGTTATCTCCTCCACCAGAAAGCCCATGATATTGACATAAAAGTGGGTAGATGTCCCTTCTCTGTGTTCCAGTAGTGCCCTGCTGTATACCTGTCACGGTATCTATGACTCTATATGGACATTGCCTGCCTGTCTGTTTTTTAGGTTATAGCTTATGACTGTTGAGAGGTGGACCATGCCATCTTCATCTTGTAATTCCAGTGCTGGTTCTAGTACCTTAGCATGTGGCTGTTGATTACATGAATGAAGACTGAAAAAGTTCTGATATTTAAACACAATTAGAATTAATGCCATGTGTAAATTATTAAATAGTAATTTTGTATTGTAAATGTACATACATATTTCTCATTCTTATTAACTCTGATAAAGTTCTCAATCTTTAGTTTTTAAACTCACACTTAGTTAACTGAAGTGTTTTAGGTAAAGAACAAGATTCTTTATTTTTCTTTCCAGCTGTTGCTGTATTGGACACTTGCTCCCATCTACTTTCTTCTCTAGAATCCACGGGTAAGCCACATCTAATGAAGAGAATATTTAACCATAAAGTCTTAAGGAAAAATTCTATGATGATTTAAAAGATTATAAAACTTTATTACTGGGCTATTTACACATTTTAATTGTTTCTCATAAAATATATAACATTCCAATATTTACTGAAGTAGGATATTTTTGTATCATATGTATGATTATAATTTATAGGGTATTTTAAATGATGTTTTTTGGCCTCCTTAAGTTTTAAGTGGATCTTGCAAATGAAAACCAGTATTATTGAGTTTGACATACTCAAATTGCCCAAATGTCAGCTGTTTAAACAACCAAGTCATCACTGATACTTTAGTAAAGGTTAGTAAAGGTCATCGAAGGCTTATTTGCATTTTACAGTTTTTATTACTTAGGAGAGTTAAGGAGTACCTGCCAGGTTTGTCCATGCTAATGTTACAATTTTCTTTTTGTAGTTCAACCGTATTTTGTATGGAGATACTTTGAGGCTCTGTAAATATCTGGTTACTCCTCAGAACCCACTAGATTTAGCATTTCATGGATGACTTGTGTTTGAACAATTATTACTATGATGGTTACCAGATGATTATTTTCTTATTCTCTTCTTTGTTCTACATGGAGAAATAAAACCAATAAATAAGGGAGAAGGAAAGCTCATGATTCTGATGCTCCAATTCCCCAAGATTAGGCCAGTAGTAGACATTCCAAGCTGACTTTATGTCTCTTTGATTTGTCTCCATTACTCTGTCGGCACTTTTTTACTTTCTGGCAGAAGATGTTCTAAGCTCAGCTTGTATTTTCTCTGCGCCAGCTCTGGAATGAGTCATTTTTTTTAGAAGCAGAGGTGGAGCCACTGAGGAAGCACAGGTGAGCCCTCCCCAGTGTGTACTCACTGGTCCCCAACAGAAGAACCACTGCCACATCCACTGAAGTACCAAGAAACTAGCAAAGGGCCTTCTGGCTGTCTGGGGAGAGTCCTCATGTGGTCCCTGGCTGTCTCAGAGGTTCTGGATTAGTCTTCCTGTAGCCTCTGTGTTCTGTCTTTAGATCGGGGCTCTGTGGGAAGGGCCCTGAGAGACCCAACAGCACAGCGTGCCTTATCTACCAAATGTCCCTCCCTTCCTCACACCCTGACACTCAGGAATAGGGTAGATGGTGTGTCCAGGCAGTGTCAGGCCACCTCACTTTCTCCTTTGAGACGGGCCCAGAGGGCCTTTGGGGTGAGTGTGGAGCTGGGAACCTGGAGCCTGAGGCCAACTGTCTCTCCCTGTGTCTTGGAGGAAAGGCCACGTCCCAAAAAAAAACCCCAGGGCCTGACTTCTGGGCACACATGCAGGGAGGGAGGGTCTATGAGCTGAGGGGGACATTGTAATGAGACTTTGAACCCCGTTGCTCCGGGGCCTGGTCAGTGGACCATGGTCAGAGATGACCTGGTCATCAGGACCTGGTCATTTGGGACCTGATCAGCAGGGGCCTGGTTAGTGGCGGCCTCCTCAGTAAAGGCCTCATCAGTGGGGACCTGGTGACCTAGTCACTGGAAGCCTGGTCAGTGGGGGGACCTAGTCAGTGGTGGCTTTATTAGTGGGGCCTGATCTGTTGGAACATAAACAATGAAAAACTGGTTGGTGGGGCATACACAATATATCACGGGCCTGGTCAGTGTGGGGCCTTAGTGGCTTGGAGCCTGGTCAGTGAGGGCCTGGTCAGAGGGGGCTCAGTCAGCTGGGTACTCGTTCATGGAGAATTGTTCAGTGGGGGGTCGGTTGAGCAGCAACCTGGTAAATTGTGGTCTTGTCAGTGGGAACCCTGTCTTGTCAATGGGGACCAGGTCAGTGGAAAATTGGTCAGTGGGGTCTGGCCCATGAGGCCTATTAAGTGTGGGCCTGGTTAGGAAGACATGGTCAGTGGGGACTTGATCAGTGGGACCTGGTCAATGGAGGAGTGGTCATTAGGGGTCTCATCACTCATCACTGGGAACCTGGTCAGGGGCAGTTTGTCAGTACCTGGCCTGCTGGCCACTATGTGACCTCAGGCAGGGGGGTTGTCTGTGGAGCCTCCTTGCCTCCATCTGCAGGGAAAGTGAGTCGGGGCACCCTGGAGGGTGGCTGGAAAGAGAAGGTGAGAAGATGTGTTGAATCCAATACTGCTTGGCAGACCTACAACTTTACAAATGACCTGTGTTCCACCTAGAGAGGGTGCCAGCCCTCTCAGCATTATGCAGTGCCCCTCCTCTGTCTGCATCCCCAGGACCACCATGGGTGGGGAGGGCAGAGATTGGGGAGCACCTATAGAGGCTCTAATGCTCTAAGGTGACAGTGATGAGGACCTGGGTGCACCCATGAGTGGAGAAGCTAGGCCTGTCCAGAGAAGCAAGACAAACACACACATACACACTCACACACACACAGGCACATATGCATACACAAATACATTGCATACACACATGTCAGTTCAGGGGATAGAGGACACGGACTCTGGGCCCTGTTGACCCAAGCAGACTCCCATGGTGGTGGGTTGTGTCACCCCAGAATGTCACTGTTGCTGAGTCCCCATCGCCTCTGTGTTGTGGAGCAGTTAGAGACACACAGCAGTGTCTGTGAGTAGCTCTGCGTGAAGGACCATTTTCTAGATGAGAGGCACATCTCAACACAGCTCACTGATCAGATTCAGGTGAGTGGGACCTGCTCTTTTCTCTTCCTTCTGGCTTGGGAAAAGTCACTATCAGGTGGATGGTTTTGGTCTCTGGGCAGCTACTGAGGGTAATCCCTGAACACTCACCAGCTGCCTGTTATGTGCTGACAGTCATCTCATTCATCCTCGCAGCAATTCCATTCTGCATCTTTTCTGATCACCTCCGTGACCACACAGGACAACCCCATCAGGGCCCTGTCACCAGGCCCAGTCTAGCTCCATGATAACCAAGACACAGGCCCAGAGACAATCGTCCTACATTGTGCCTGCATCTGACACCCCTTGGTAGGTAGTGACCAGCACAACATGGAAGAAGCCAGGGCAGCATGCAGCCAGCTGCTCTGCAGCCCCAAATGGCTCCTGGGCCTTGGGAAGTCACTCATAAAGGGGAAGCTGGTCACTTTGAGGTCCCTGAAGGGAAGGGTGAACGTGCATCCCAACAGCCCTGGCAGCCAGCAGCATGCCATACATATTCTCACCCAACGTGTGTGACAGAGGTCCCCTCCTGGGGCACAAGTCCCATACCTAAAGCATCCTGTCCCAGTCGGACCTCATCCTGAGCCCTGGGAGGGGAGGGGGACCATGGGCCCCCCTGCAGCAGCCAGGATTACCACCCAGGGGACTCGGCCTTCTGTGGCCCTGGCCAGACTTAGAATTTGGCCCAAGACAAACTTACTCGGAGCAGCTTCTCAGTACCTGGGGCCTGTGCATACCAGGCAAGGCCAAGCTGGCTCAAAGAGCAACCAGCCACCTCTGCAAGGGTATGCCAGTAGCAGGTGGAGCAGTCACCAACCTCACGCACTCAAGGAAACAGGGATGGCCAGTTTCCCACAGTCTGAGTGACCACCACCTGACAGCTGATGGAGTGGAGGCCTGAGGAAAAGCAGATGGCACTGGGGCTCCACCTCCAGGGCAGAATAACTGATTTACCCTGACTGGCAGGGAGTGACGTTGGTGGCTGGTCCACTGGCTCCTGGCACACCCTTGCAGAGGTGGGTGGTTGCTCTTTGAGCCAGCTTGGCTTTGCCTGGCATGCACAGGTCTCAGTGCAACAAATGTGCTGCAAATGGAGCCACATAGAGGAAATGAGCAGCAGGCTCAGAACTGGGGTGTGTGCCGCCTTTGGGGCTCCAGTCCAAGCATCGGGGCTTCTACAGCACTGTGGGCTTCTCGGGTGCCAAGAGGCAGACCACAGGCCATCTTGAGGAGGACTCTGGTAAGAGCTTCCTTGTGTACGTGGATGATGTCCAGAATGTTGACCTGGTGTCCCTGAGACAGCACTAACAGGTCCATGACTGGGTCCAGATCCTGCCTGGGCTGATGGGCAAAGAGCTCACTGACAGTGTGGAAGGCATCTATGGTGAAGTGGATCTATGTTCAAGTGCAGAAAGGGCCCAATCTTGCAGATGAACCACACAGCCAGCTTCTGGATGCAGGTGCAGTGCCACATTTTTTGTCACTTCCTGATGTGCCCCACCAGCACTGAAGAGATAGCCTGGAGACAGGGCAAGAGGAAGGCTGAGAAGGATGAGATGGTGAGTGCCAGATTCTTCCTGGCCCTGAGCCCACCCCCAGTGTGACACTCAACTTTTAGGAGTGGGAGAGCAAGATTGATGGCTTCAAGTGCTTCATCAAGAAGATGGACAACAGGGCACTCAGGTCAACTTCACAGCCAATGAGTGGTGGCAGGCTTTGAGAAAGAGCATCAGAAGCCTGACAGTTCTTCTTCAGCCTCAGCCAGGCCTTGGAGCTGGACCAGGCCATCCACTTCAGTATAGATGCCTTCCACTCTGTCAGTGAGCTCTTTGCCAGTCAGTCCAGGAAGGACCTGGACCCAGCCATGGACCTGTTAGTGCTGTCTCAGGGACACAAGACAAACATCCTGGACATCATTCACATACACAAGGAAGCTCTTACCAAAGTCACGGAGAACAGACAACATGTGGCAGAAGGGAAGACAGAGGTGCAGAGGCTGATGGAGTCATTATCACAGGAACAGGATTTCTTTGGCCACTTTGGCTGAAATTCACCACTTCCATCCAATTCACTCAAGTGAGAGACTTGAAATCACAGATGGAGCATTTCTTGCAACAAGAGATACTATTTTTTCAAAAAGTCACCTAAAATTTGATAGTGTTGAATGACTAGCTATTCGAGTGTGGACTTTTTCCAGTTCACGGGTACTTTCTACAGCAGAATGATAACAGTATCAAAGAGCTGGTGCCAGCTATCGGTGGTAGTACAAGGATGACTTTGTGCTCAACTGAAACCCAGCTGAATATAGAATTGTGTACGAAAGTGTTAATATGGTGATAGAATAGAAACAGTAGCAAATGAACTAAATCATACTATGAATGCCTACACTACCATTATAACTTTTTGAAGAATGATAATACCACTTACTTTATTGCCTTTTGAAGTAGGAATATTTTAGTGGATATTCTATAGATCTGAAACCCTATAAAGAATCCCAAAGAAGCTGGCTGGATAAAGCCTGCTATGGATGTCTTTATACTCAAAGACTGATGAGGCAATTCGAATATGTGTCCCCACCAAATCTCTTGTTGAATTATGCTTCCTAATGTTGGAGGTGGATCCTGGTATAAGGTGATTGAATCATGAAGGCAAATTTCTCATGAGTGGTTCAGCACCATCCCCTTGGTACTGTCCTCACAATCATGAGTGACTTCTCGTGAGATCTGGCCACTGAAAACTCTATATCACTCCCTACTCTCCGTGATTTCCTCTTGCCATGTGAGACAATTCACTCTTTCATTACCTTGCACAATGATTGAAAGATTTCTGAGGCCCCCCAGAAGCAGAAGCACTAAGCTTCCTGTCCACTCTGCAGAACCATGAGCCAATTAAACCTCTTTTTCAAGATAAATCTTACCAAAAATGTCAAATGAGGACTGGAGCACTGCTATAAAGATACCTAAAAATGTGGAAGCAACTTCGGAACTGGGTAATGGGTAGAGGTTGGAAGAGTTTGGAGGGCTCCAAAGAAGACAGATGAGAACATTTTTGGATCATCTTAGAGACTGGTTAAATGGCTGTGACAAGAATGCTGACAAAAACATGGACAGTGAAGGCCAGGCTGAGGGGGCCTCAGATAAAAATAAGAAGCTTTCTGGAAAATGTCTCTCTTTTGGATATGGAAAGCTTACACAATGCCTGTACCATCATTGTACCTTAGACGCAGTGAACTTGCTTTTTATTTCAGAGACTTGTAGGCAAAAGAGAATGTAGCCTTGACCCAGATGAGACTTTGCACTTTGTAACTTTGAGTTAATGCTGAAATGAGTTAAGACTTTGGGAGACTGCTGGCAAGGCATGACTGTATCTTGCAATGTGAGAAGGACATGAGATTTGTGGGGTCAGGGACAGAATAATACGGTTTTTCTCTATGCCCCTTCCAAAGCTCATGTGAAAGTACACTCCCTAATGTTAGAGTCGGGGCCTAGGTGGAAAAAGCTTTAATCATAAAAAGTGGGAGTGGATCCTTCACAAATGGCAAAGCACCAAGCCCTTAATGCCATCCTCCTGATAGTGAGTGAGTTCTCATGAGATCTAGTAGTTTAAAAGGCTGTGGAACCTCTTTCCTCTCTCTGTCTTGTTCCAACTTCTGCCATATGAAACATGTCATTGCCGCTTGGATTTCCAGTGTGGTTAGGAGGGGCCTGATCAGTGTGGGCCTGGTCCGTGGACCTAGGTCAGTGAGGACTATTTAGTGGGATAGTGGTCAGCAGGGGTCTGCTTAGAGAGGGTCTCATTAGTGGGGTCTAGTAGTGGGGGTTTTGGTGAGTGGGGACCTATTGGCTGCCAGTTGTTTGGTGTCTGGTCAGTGCAAACCTGGGCTGTGGGGCTTGATCAGTGGAGACCTGGTCAGCTGGGGCTTAGTGCTGGTCTGGTCAGCATGGGCTGGGGCACTGGTGACCAGGTCAAGGGGTGCTACTCAGTGCAGGACGGGGCACATGGGACCTAGTCAGCAGACCCTGGTGGGCGTGTCCTCATCAGTGAGGCCCTTGTCAGTGGGGCCCTGGTCAGGGCAGCCTTGTCGGCGGGACCTAATCTGTAGTGTCCTGGTCAGAGAGGACTTGGTCAGTGGTGACTTTTGTAGCACCGGTCTACAGGGTGACTTGGTCAGCGGGAATCTCAGCATTTGGTGCCGGTTCAGTGGGGTCTACTCACTAGGGTCCCAGTCAGGGGCATCTGGTGACATAAGGCCTCATTATTAGGGGCCTGATCAGTGGCAACCTGTTCCCTGGAGGCCTGGTCAGTGGGGCCTCATCTTTGGGCCAGGGAATGAGTTCATGATCAGTGGAACCTGATCAGTGAGGCCTTGTCAATAATGACCTAGTCAGTGAGGACTTGTCAGTAAGGACATAGTCCATGAGGCCTTGTCAGTGAGTCCTTGTCAGTAAGGTCCTGGTCAGTGGAGTCCTTGTCATTGTGTGCCCGGCAGTGGGGGCCTTGTTAGTGGGGCCTGGTCATGAGGGTCTAATCAGTGAGGGTGTCATCAGGGAGGACCTGATGTGCAGGGTCTGGTCAGCAGGGACCTGGTCAATGTGGGCTGCTGAGCACTGCTTGGATAAGCCAGGTGCAATGTGCATTATTGAAGGCCCTGTGGACAGCTGGGATAGCCCAGTGATGCCCAAGGGCCTAGTCAAAAGTGGACAAAGCACATATTTGGATGGACCTGGGAGATCCTGCTCAGAGATTCTGACAGGACAAAGGTAAAGGAAGGGCCAGAGTGGCTGGAGAGATGGTCACAGTCTATGGGCTGCACAGGATGGAGGAGGCTGGGGAACAGGCAGGGTGGGCAGTTGGGGTTCAGGGAGAGGCAGGTGCATGCTGGGAGGTCAGACCCTGTGAGGGCTTTGGGGGCGTCAGGTTGGGTAGGCTCCAGGCACTCTCACTCACATAGGATTCCAGAACACTGCTACAAGGCTCTGAGTGTTTGTCCCTCACATAGGATTCCAGAACACTGCTGCCATTGTCTGAATGTTTGTCCTCCACATAGGATTCCAGAAGTCTGCTGCTGGGGTCTGAATGTTTGTCCCCCATCTAGGATTCCAGAACACTGCTGTGAGGGTCTGAATGTATGTCCCTCACATATGATTCTAGAATATTGATGCTAGGGTCTGTATGTTTGCCCTTAACATATGATTTCAAAACACTGCTCCTGGATTCTGAATGTTTGTCCTTCTCATAGGAATACAGAACACTGCTGCTGGAGTCTGAATGTTTGTCACTCACATAGAATTCCAGAACACTGCTGCGAGGATCTGAATGTTTGACCCTCACATGGGATTCCAGAACACTGCTGCGAGGGTCTAAATGCCTGTCCCTCACATAGGTTTCCAGCACAATGTTACGAGGTTCTGAATGTTTGTCCCTAACATAGGATTCCAGAGCACTCCTGCTGTGCTCTGAATGCTTCTCCCTCACATAGGATTCCAGAACACTGCTATGAGGGTCTGAATGCTTATACCTCATATAGGATTCCAGAACACTCCTGCTGTGGTCTGAATGTTTGTTCCTCACATAGGATTCCAGAACACTCCTGCCGTGGTCTGAATGTTTGTCACTCACATAGGATTCCAGAACATTCATGCTGGGGTCTCAATGTTTCCCTTAACATAGGATTTCAGAACACTGCTCTTGGGGTCTGCATGTTTGTCCCTCACATAGGATTACAGAACACTGCTGCTGGAGTCTGAATGTTTGTCAGTCACATAGAATTCCAGAACACTGCTACAAGGGTGTGAATATTTTTCCCTCACCTAGTATTCCAGAACACTGTTGCAAGGGTCTGCACGTTGGTCCGTCATATAGGATTCCAGAACACTGCTGCTGTGGTCTGAATGTTTGTCCCTCACATAAAATTCTGGAACACTGCTACAAGGGTCTGAATGTTTGTCCTTCACATACCATTCCAGAACACTGCTGCCGTGGTCTGAATGTATGTCCCTCACATAGGATTCCAGAACACTGCTACTAGGTTCTGAATGTTTTTCCCACACCTAGGATTCCAGAACACTTCTGCTGGTGTCTGAATGGTTGTCCCTCACATATGATTCCAGGACACTGCTATGAGAGTCTTAATGTTTGTCCTTCACATAGAATTCCAGAACACTGCTCCCGTGGTCTGAATGTTTGTCCCTCACATAGGATTCCACAACACTACTGCTGGGGTCTGAATGTTTGGCCCTCACATAGGATTCTAGAACACTCCAGCTGGCTTCTGAGTGTTTGTCCCTCACATAGGATTCCTGAAGACTGCTGCTGTCGCTATAGTCGTTGAGAGTGTCTGAATGTTTGACCTTCACCAAACACCAAATATCCTGGCCCTTTAGTCTTGTACTTTCCAGCCTCCAGATCTGTGAACAATAATCTCTGTTGTTTATGAATTACTCAGTCTGAAGTATTTTGTTATAGTAGCCTAAAGAGACTAAGAGAGCATCACCTGCCCTGTCACCTCATCACCGCATTACTGAAGCTATACTAACAACAGTCACTTTTAGTGGGTACTTCATGCATCAGAATAAAGGGAAAAAATTGCAAGGCTTACTAAAATCCAAAAAAAGAAAAAAATACAATTTGTGTCAACAGAGCAAGCTTCAGAAGCAGACAAAGATATGATCTTGGAATTTTTTTTTAAACCTCTGGAGAATATGCTAAGGGCCTAATGAATGAAGTAGACAGTATTCAAGTGTAGATGGGTAATGTAATGAGAAAGACAGACATCGTAAGAACTTTCAACATAATGTAGTGATGAAAAACGTGGTAAATAACTGAAGAATACCTCTGATGGCTTATTAGTAGACTGGACTCAGCTGAGTAAAAATCTCTGAGCTTGAGGATTTATCATCAGAAACTTCGAAAACTAAAGAAAAGAAACACTGAAAAGAACAGAAGATGATATTCAAGACTGTGGGACAACTACAAAAGGTGAAACAGTAATGAGAATACCAAGAGGAGAAGAAATAGAAGAAAGTTCTGCAACAACCATGTCTGAGAACTTCCAGTATTAATGTCAGACACCAAACCAAAGATCCAGGAAGCTCTGAGAACACCAGGCAGAATAAATACCAACAACCTACACTTGGACATATAATTTTCAAACTATATGAAATAAAAGATAAAGGAAAACTCTGAAAGAAACCAGAGGTGGGGCAGAAAACACCTTACCTACAGAGACACAAAGATAAGAACTGCATTCAACATTTCAGAAACTGTGAAAGTAAGAAGACAGTGAAATGAAAAATTCAAAATGTTGACAGAAAAAACCCACCAACCTAAGTTTCTGTACCCACTGAAACCACCCTTCAAAAGTGAAGGAGAATTAAGGCCTTCCTCAGAAAAATAAAAATTCAAGAAACTTGTTGCCAGGAGACCTGTCTTGCAAGAAATGTTAAATGAAATTCTTTAGGGAAACAAAAGATATATAACTGAAACCTGGATCAACATTTTTTTAAAAAGAGCATTAAAGAAAGAATTGTGGTACAATAAAAACCTATGTATTTATTCTTAATTGATCTGACCAAGAAGATCATAGACAATAACAAATACAGATATATTATGTATGCTTATATACAATTGAAATGAGTAACACTAATACAAGGAATGGAATGGAAGGATGGTAGGGAGGCATTGTGGTACAATAAAAACATGTATTTATTCATAATTGATCTGACCAATAAGTTTGTAGATAATAATAAATACACACAGATAGATTATGCATGCTTATACACAAGTGAAATAAGGAACAATAATACAAGGAATGGAATGGAAGGATGGGAGGGAGGAATCAGGTGTTTTCTTTGTTAAGCAGGTAGTCACCCGTGAAGTGGGATAGTGTTATCTGAAAGTGGACTTGAATTGGTTGTAAATGTATATTGAGGAATTAGGTGTGTTCTTTGTTAAGCAGGTAGTCTTATTTGTGGGATAGTGGGATAGTGTTATTTGAAAGTGGACTTGAATTGGTTGTAAATGTTACTGAGGAATTAGGTGTTTTGTTTGTTAAGCAGGTAGTCTTATTTGTGGGATAGTTGGATAGTGTTATTTGAAAGTGGACTTGAATTGGTTGTAAATGTATATTGCAAATTCTGTGGCAACTAGTTAAAAAAAAGTTTTAAAAAGAGAAGTATGTACTAAGAAAGACAGGGAAAATGGAGTCATCTAAAATCATCAATGAAAACTGCAAAAGGCAGAAAAAGAGTGGTAGACAAAAGAATGAAGACTGAGGAGAATGAATAGAAAACAGTAACAAATATAGTAGATATTAATCCAATGATATCAATAATCACTTTGAATGTTAATGGTATGAATGTACCAATTCAAAGGTAGAGATTGTCAGAGTCTATCAAAAGACAGACACATCTTGTTTCACTGCACTTTGCTTTATTGTGTTTTGTGACCATGTGTTTTACGTATTGAAGGTTTGTGGCCACCCTGCAATAAGCAGGTCTCACTGGCACCATTGTTCCTACAGCACGTGCTCACTTCACGTCTCTGTGTCACATTTCGGTCATTCTCACAGTATTTTAAGATTTTTATTATTGAATCTGTTGTGGTGATCTGTAATCAGTAATCTTTAATGCTACTGTTGTCATTGTTTTGGGAACCACAAATCACACCAGGATAAGACAGCAAACAATTGACAAATGCGTTTGTTCTGACTGCCCAACCAACGGGCCATTTCTCTTTCTCTTTTTCTCAGGCTTCTTTTTATTAATATTAAAATGTGGCCAATTAATAACCCTACAATAGCCTCTATATGTTCATGAAAGAAGAGTTGCATGTCTGTCACTTTAAACCAAAAGGAAGAAATAATTAAGCTTAGTGAGGAAGGCATGCTGTAAGCAAGACAGGCCAGTAGCTAGACCTCATGCAACAAACACTTAGCCAAGTTGTGAATGCAAACGAAGTGTTCTGGAAAGAAATTTAAAGTACTGCTCCAGTGAACACATGAATGATAAAAAGCTAAACAATCTTGCTGCTGTTATGAAGAAAGTTTAATTGGTCTAGATAGAAGATGAAAAAAAAACAAAAAACATTCCATTAAGCCTAAGCCTAACTCTCTTTTTACTTTTTTTTCTTTTTTTTTGAGACAGAGTTTCATTCTTCTTGCCCAAGCTGGAGTGCAATGGCGTGATCTTGGCTCATCGCAACCTCTGCCTCCCAAGTTCAAGCCATTCTCCTGCCTCAGCATCCCAAGTAGCTGGGATTACAGGCAAGCACCACCACACCTGGCTATTTTTTTGTATTTTTAGTAGAGACGGGGTTTCTCCACATTGGTCAGACTGGTGTCGAACTCCCGACCTCAGGTGATCTGCCCGCCTCGGCCTCCCAAAGTGCTAGGATTACAGGTGTGACAGCCACCGCACCCGGCCTCTCTTCAATTCTATGAAGACTTAGAGTGGTGAGGCAGCTGCAGAAGGAAAGTCTGAAGCTAGAAGAGCTTGTTTCTTGAGGTTTAAGGAAAAAAGTCATCTCCATAACATAAAAGCGCAAGATAAAGCAGCAAGTACTGATGGAAAAGCTGCAGAAAGCTATCTAGAAGATAACTGATTAAGATGGCAACACTAAATAGATTTGCAATGGAGACAAAACAGCCTTCTACTAGAAGGAGATGCCATCTAGGATGTTCCCAGCTAGAGAGGAGTTGATGCCTGGCTTTAAGGCTTCAAAGGACATGCTGACTCTTTTGTTAAGGGCTAATGCAGTTGGTGATGTTAACTTGAAACCAATGATGATTTACTATTCTGAAAATCCAAGGGCCCTGAAGAATTATGATAAAACACAGCTCTGTCTGTACTCTACAAATGGGAACAAAGCCTGGATGACAGACTATCGGCTTACAAATATGGTTTACTGAATATCTGAAGCCCACTGTTGACACCTACTGCTCAAGAAATAAGATTCCTTTCAAAGTATTACCGCTCACTGACAATGCCCCTGGTACTCAAGGGCTTTTACAGAGATGTACAAAGAGCTGAATATTGTTTTCATGCCTACTAACCCAACATTCATTCTGGTGCCCTTGGATCAAAGAATAATTTCAACTTTCAAGTCTTATCACTTAAAAATATATTTCATAAAGCTATAACTTCTCTAGAAAGTGATTCCTTTGATGGATCTGGGCAAAATAATTGAAAACCTACTGGAAAGGATTCACCATTCTAGATGTCATTGAGAACATTCATGATTTAAAAAATAAGATCAAAATAGCAACATTAGGAGAAGTTGGGGCCGGGCGTGGTGGCTCACACTTGTAATCCCAGCATGTTGGCAGGCCAAGGCACGTGGGTCACGAGGTCAGGAATTTGAGACCAGCCTGGCCAACATAGTGAAATCCTGTCTGTACTAAAAACACACAAAAAATTAGCTGGGCCTGGTCGGGGGTGACTGTAATCCCAAACACTTGGGAGGCTGAGGCAGAATTGCTTGAACCTGGGAGGTGGAGGTTGCAGTGAGCTGGGATCGCATCACTGCACTCCAGCCCAGGCAAGACTTCATCTCAAAAAAAAAAAAAGAGAGAGAGAGAGAGAGAGAAGTTGGGAAGATTATTCCAACCCTCACAGATGACACAGGGGTTCACGACTTCTGTGGAGGAGGTAACTGCAGATATGGTGGAAATAACAAGAGCACTAGAATCAGAGACAGAGCCTGAAGATCTGGCGAGACTGCAGCAGCCTCCGGAGAAAACGTGAGTGGATGAGTTGCTTCCAAGGATGAGCAAAGAAAGTGGTTTCTTGAGATGAAATCTACTCGTGGTGAAGACAGTGTAAACAATGTTGAGATGACAACAGATTTAGAATAAACTTAGTTGGTACAGCAGAAGGAGGGCTTGACAGGATTGACACAATGATTTACAATAATACATAAACTTAGTTGGTACAGCTGTACGAAGGTTTGACAGGATTGAATCCAATTTGAAAGTTCTACTGTGGGTAAAAAGCTATCAAACAACATCGTATGCTACAGATAATTCTTTTGTGAAAGGGAGAGTCAATTGACACAGCAAACTTCAATGGTGTCTTATTTTAAGAAATTGCCACAGCCACCCCAACGCTCAGCAACCACCACCTTACATTAAGGCAAGACCCTCCATCAGCAAGAAGACTGAAACTTGGCCAGGTGCAGTGGCTCACACCTGTCATCCCAACACCTTGGGAGGCCAAGGTGGGTAGATTGCTTGAGCCCAGGAAGTCAAGGCAACATGGCAAAACCCCATCTCTACAAAAAAAAAAAAATACAAAAATTAGCTGGTCATGGTGGCATGTATCTGTAGTTCCAGCTAGTCAGGAGTCTGAGGTGGGGGTTTGATTGAGCATGAGGTTGAGACTGCAATTACTCTAGCCTGAGCCACAGAGTAAAACCCTGTCACACACACAAAAAAAGATTGCAGCTTTCTGAAGGCTCAGATGACTGTTAGCACTTGTTAACAATAAAGTATTTGTAAATTAAAGTGTGAACACTTTGTAGACATATGCTATTGCACACTTTATACAGCACAGTATAAACATACTTTTACATGCACTGGAAAACCAAAAGAAATTGTATAACTCACTTTATTGCAGTGGTCTGGAACCAAACCCACATATATCTCTGATGCATGGCCGTCCTGTATTGTACACTTAAAATAAAACTTAAGAGGGTATATTTTAGGTGAAATGGTCATCTCATTTTTTTTTTTGAGACGGAGTCTCACTCTGTTGCCCAGGCTGGAGTGCAGTGGCACGATCTCAGCTCACTGCAAGCTCTGCCTCCCGAGTTCATACCACTATCCTGCCTCAGTCTCCCAAGTAGCTGGGACTACAGGTGCCCGCCATCACGCCCAGCTAATTTTCTGTATTTTTAGTAGAAACGGGGTTTCACTGTGTTAGCCAGGATGGTCTTGATCTCCTGACCTCGTGATCCACCCGCCTCGGCCTCGCAAAATGCTGGGATTACAGGCGTGAGCCACCACTCCCGGTCTCATTTTTTAAAAAGGGTCAGAATGAGAAATATATGGGGAGTGATGGTCAAGTTTACGGCATTATTTGTTGTGATGAGTCCTGGGGCGAATACTTATCTCTAAACTCATTAAGATGTATATATTCGGTGTCACACGCCTGTAATCCCAGCACTTTGGGAGACAAAGGCAGGTGGATCATCTGAGGTCAGGAGTTCGAGACCAGCCTGGCCAACATGGTGAAACCCTGTCTGTACTAAAAAAATACAAAAATTAGCCGGGTGTCGGGGCGCACGCCTGCGATCCCAGCTACTCAGGAGGCTGAGGCAGGAGAATTGCTTGAACCCGGGAGGTGGAGGTTGCAGCTAGCTGAGATCGTGTCACTGCACTCCAGCCTGGGCAACAAGAGTAAAACCTCCGTAACACACACACACACACACACACACACACACACACACAAAGGTATATATTAAATATGTGTAATTTTTGTATGTCAACCACACCTTAGTTTTATTTTATTTTATTTTATTTGAGACAGAGTCTCGCTCTGTCACCCAGGCTGGAGTCCAGTGGTGCAATCTCAGCTCACTGCAAGCTCCACCTCCCAGGTTCACACCATTCTCCTGCCTCAACTTCCGGAGTATCTGGAACTACAGGCACCCGCCACCACGTCCGGCTAATTTTTTGTATTTTTAGTAGAGATGGCATTTCACCGTGTTAGCCCGGATGGTCTCGATCTCCTAACGTGATCTGCCTGCCTCAGCTTCCCAAAATGCTGCGATTACAGGTGTGAGCCACCGTGCCCAGACAATTTTTTTTTGAGTCAGAGTCTCACTCTGTCACCAAGGCTGGAGTGCAGTGGCACTATCTTGGCTCACTGCAACCTCTGCCTCCCATGTTCAAGCAATTCTGCTGCCTCAGTCTCCTGAGTAGCTGGGACTACAGATGCATGCTATCACGCCTGGCTAATTTTTTGATTTTTAATAGAGATGAGGTTTCACCATGTTGGCCAGGCTGGTCTCAAACTCCTGACCTCATGTGATCTGCCCACCTCAGCCTCCCAAAGTGCTGGGATTACAGGTGTAAGCCACTGCACCCGGCAATTTTTAAATATATATAATTAAAAATTAATTAAAAAAGGTATTTGCAAGTTTCCGTTTTGTTATATACTTATTATTCTTTATCTTTATGTCAGGTTGCTGTGTCAATACACTTAGGAGATCATAGTTTCTAAATTGAAATACAAATAAATATGTCTCAAATTTTTTCTTTTTTCTTTTTTTTTTGAGATGGACTCATTCTGTCACCCAGGCTGGAGTGCAGTGGTGCAATCTCAGCTCACTGCAACCTCCGCCTCCCAGATTCAAGTGATTCTCCTGCCTCAGCCTCCAGAGTAGCTGGGATTACAGGCACCCGCCATGACACTCAGCTAGCTTTTATATATTTTTTTTCTATTTTTAGTAAAGACAGGGTTTCACCATGTTGGCCAGGCTGGTCTCCAACTCCTGACCTCAGATGATCCTCCCACCTCGGCCTCCTCAAGTGCTGGGACTACAGGTGTGAGCCACTGTGCCTGGCCTGGAATTTTTTTCTAAAATTTACATTTCTGAGTTAAGAATGCTTAAAATATTATAAAAACAGAAGCACAATTCATTATGTGTTTCATTAATTACCTCTATTAAAAACAACACAATTATATTACAATAGGACAAAAAAAAATGTTTAAGCAAATGAAAACAAAACCATGACATACCCAAACTCAGGAGGAGGCAACAAAGGCAGTGCTAAAGGGAAGCTTACAGCCACAGATGCTTAAATTAAAAAGAAGAAAGATCTCAAAGCCATGCTAAAGGGAAGCTTATAGCTGCAGGTGATCAAATTAAAAAGAAGAAAGATCTCAAATCAATAACCTAACATTACACCTAAAGGGAAAAAAAAAAAAACTAATGACAAACCAAGCAAAAGGAAGAAAATAACAGATTAGAACAGAGATAAGCAGAATAAGACCAGAAAAAAAGGAAAAAAAAAACCACTGAGTTTGTTTTTTTAAAGATCAATAAAAATTTTAAAACTCACAGCTATATTAAGAAAAAAAGAGAAATCTCAAATACTAAAATCATAAATAAAAGAGGTGACAGTACAACAGATTCCACAGAAATGAAAAAGATTACAAGAGACTAATGTGAGCAACCATATGCCACAGAACTGGGCAACCTAGAATAAATTTATAAATTCCTAGAAACACAAACCACCATACTGCATCATGGAGAAATAAAAAATCCAAAGAGACCTGTAACTAGTAAGAAGATTCAACCAGTAATCAAAAACCCCCCAAAAAAGAAAATTCCAGGTCCAGATAACTTCACTGGAAAATTTTACCAAACATTTCAAGAAGAATTAATGCCAGCCCTTTGTAAAATATTCCAAAAATGTTCAAAAACCAGAAGGGGACATTCCAATCCACTCTATCAGGTCAACATTTATCTGGTTCCAGAGCCAGATGAACACCTTTTGTAATAAAAACACTCAAAGAATTAGTAATATATGGAAACTCCTCAGTAAATAAAGATTATACATGAAAAGCTCACAGCTAACATCATACTGAATGGTGAAAAACTAAAATCTTTTCCTCTAGGATCAGGAATAAGATAGCAACATCTCTTCCTGCCACTTCTATTCACCACAGTACTGGAATTTCTACTCAGAATAATTAGGCAAGAGAAAGTAATAAAAAGCATGCAAATTGGAAAGGAAAAAGTACAAAATTTTGTTCACAGACAACATGATGTAATGTGTAAAAATCCTGAAATTCCACAAAATACTGGTAGAATAATGAAATTCAACAAAGTTTCAGGATACAGTAACACACACAAGTCAGTTCCATTTCTATAAACTAACAATGAACAATCTGCAAATAAAATTTTAAAAAGAGGCCAGGTGCAGTGGCTCACAGTTGTAATCCCAGCACTTTGGAAGGCCAAGGCGGGTGGACCACCTGAGGTCAGGAGTTCGTGACCAGCTGGGTCAACCCCATCTCTAATATAAATAGTAAAACTCTATCGCTATTAAAAATACAAAAATTAGCTGGGCATAGTGGCAGACACCTGTAGTCCCAGCTACTTGGGAGGCTGAGGCAGGAGAATTGCTTGAACTTGGAAGGTGGAGGTTGCAGTCAGCTGAGACTGTGCCACTGTGCTCCAGCTTAGGAAACAGAGTGAGACACCGTCTCAAAAAAAAAGAAAGAAAGGAAAGAAAGAGAGAGAAAGAAAAGAAAAGAAAGAGAAAACAAAAGAAAAGAAATTTTTAAAAAGAATGACATTTGGCTGGGTGCAGTGGTTCATGCCTGCAATCCCAGCAGTTTGGGAGGCCGAGGTGGGCAGATCACCTGAGGTCACAAGTTCAAGAATAGCCTGGTCAACATGGAGAAACACTGTCTCTACTAAAAATACCAAAAAGTTAGCTGGGCATGGTGGCGCGCACCTGTGATCCCAGGTACTTGAGAGGCTGAGGTTGGAGAATCGCTTGAATAAGGAAGGTGCAGGTTGCAGTGACCTGAGATAGTGCCACTGCACTCCAGCCTGGGAGACAGAGCAAGACTCCATCTCAAAAAAAAAAAATTATATTTACAACAGCATTATAAAAATTAGAAATAAGCTTAACCAAGAGGGCAAAAGATTTGAACACAGAAAACTACAAAACACTGTTAAAAGAAATTAAACACAAATAAATGAAAAGAAAAGCTGGGTTTGCAAATTAGATGATTTCATCTTGGAATGATGTCAACACTACTCGAAGTGACCTAGATTCAATACAATCCTTATAAAGATTCCAATGACATTTTTGATAAACAGAAAAACCTATCCTAAAACTCATATGGAATCTCCAGGGCCCATGAATAGGCAAATCAATCTTGAAACAGAACAAAATTAAACGTCTCAAAGCAATTACAAAACTGCAATAAGCCAAAAAGAAAAAATGTGGTCATGGCATAAAGACACTCTTGACACACTTATGGACCAACACAACAGAGACCTCAGAAACCAACCCTGGCATATATGGTCCGATGATCTTCCAGAAGGATGCCAAGACCACTCAATGGAAAAGCACAGTTTCTTCAACAAGTGATGATGGGAAAATTGTATAACTACATGCAAAACAATGAAGTTGGACTCTTACCTTACACCACGTTAAAATCAATTCAAAGTGAATTATAAACCTAAATGTAAAACTAGAACTATCAAACTCCTAGGGAAAACAAATTTGGAAAATGCTTTATGACGATGAATTTGTCAATAATTTTTAGGATATGACATTAAAAGCTCAGGCAGTAAAAGCAAAAATATATCAAACCTAAAAACTTCTGTACCTCAAAGGTCACAACCAACAGGGTAAAAGGCAAACTGTAAAATTAAAAAAAATACCAGTTGAGTGTCCCTTATTTGAAATGCTTGGGATGTGTTTCAGATTTTGTAATATTTGCACTATTCTTACTGGTTGAGGATCTCAAATTCAAACACCTGAGTCTGAGATGCTCCAATAAGCATTTCCTTTGAGTGTCATGTTGGCACTCAAAAAGTTTCAGACTTTGGAGCATTTGGGATTTCAGATTTTTGGATCAGAGACATTCAACCTATAGTTGCACATCATGTATCTCATAAGAAGTGAACATTCAGAATGCGTAAAGAACTCCTACAGAGAGACTACCAGAAGCAGAGAGGAGCAAACACATTTTCACACTAGGGAACCTGCTATCTCTCCTGGATTCCAATTAGGGCAGAGTAAGTGCTAGTTCTCTGCCAACCCAGGATTAGGCCCTGCAGCTGCAGTGAAAATAATCACAGAAGAAAACTAAGAAATAAAAAATGGAGAAAGTGAGACATCAAACTAGAATTACTAGAAACCCCCAGGAAGAAGGAAAAAAAATCCAAGAAAACAGAAAAACAATCAAACCAGTTAATTAAACCTTGGTGTGACCAGAAGATCAGGGTTTCCTAAAGGAGTGGAAATTTATTGACTTGAAGGCGATTTATTGATTACTGATTTGAAGAGGAAGAAAACCATGAATGGTCTAAAGCAAAAGCCTAGTGTCTGAAGAAGTCAGTAGGGTGAAAACAAGAGCTGACCAGAATATCCACAGATGGTGACAAGTTGGCAAAGCCTTTACTAGACTACTTGTGAAGCTAACTAGAGGCCAAGGAGCCAACACTGCCCCTGTCCTTACAGAGAGACCCTACACAGGATTCCCAGATATACATGGAAGGACAACATCTTATCAGGTCCTCTCTGTGCAGATGTGGTTATCATTCCAAATAATGAGCTCCAGCCCCAAGACTGTTCCATCCTCAATTGCTTTGAGTGGGCAATGTAGGCTCTCCACACACGAGCTACATGTAGGTTCCTTGGGTACCCAGATGGGAGCCGTGAAACATAAACCCTCCATGGTCAGGTCAATATCTGTTTCCTGCCTTTTTCCCAGCAATCCCCAGGCCTCAGCAGCAGTGGTCTACCTCTGCTGATTCTCATTCAGAATCTAAACTTAGAAACAATTAGAACCTAGACCCGAATTCTACCTGAAAGTAACAGAATAACATAATCTATACCCTGCAGCATGACTGTTTGCCCAACGTAATGAGGATGAACTGAGAGATAATGAATGATCATGACCCTGGCCCAAGTAACAAGAATGAACTGTGAGATAAATGAATGCTCATGACCAAAAAACCCAGCTACAACACAACAAAATAAAGTGATTAAAAAATGGACAAAGAACATTCATCCAAAGATGCAAAGATGATATACAAATAGCCAACAGATACATGAGATATATGAGAAGATGTGTAACATCACTAATCATTAGAGAAATGCAAATAGAAACCACAATGGGACATCACTTCAAACCCAACAGAAAGTAACAAGTGCAGGTGAAACTGAAACACTTGAACACTGTTGGTGGAAATATTAACTGGCTCCTCAAAAAAATAAAATAAAATGACCATATGATCCAGCCATCCAACTTCTACAGAGACAGAATAACTAGTAGCAGGACCTCAAACAGATATGTGTACACCTGTGTTCACAGGAGCATTACATAGCCACGAGGTGGAAGAAACCAAAACGTCCATCCAGGAATAGATGGATAAACAAAAGAATATACATATATATATATATAGAGAAAATATATATATATGAAGAAATATTATTCAGCCATAGAAAGGAAGAAAATCCTGACACATCTGCACATAACATGGAACCTACTTAAAAAACAAATATTATATAACCCTAGGTATATAAGCCAAATTTTTAGAAACACAAAGTAGAATAGTACTTGCCAGGAGGTGGAAGGAAGGGGAAATTAATAGTTGTTGAATGGGTATAGAGTTTTCTAAGATAAAAAAAAATCTAGAAATCTGCTACACAACAATGTAAATATTCTTAACTCTACAAAACTGTATACTTACAACTGGTTATGATGGTAAATTTTAAGGTATGTGTTTGTTACCAAAATTCGAAATTATAAATTATTTATAAAAAATGATCTTTTTTGACACACGGTCTTACTCTGTTGCCCTGGCAGGAGTGGAATGGCATGATCACAGCTCATTGCAGCCTCAACCTCCCAGGCTCAAGCAACCCTCCCACCTCAGCCTCCCAAATAGTTAGGACTACAGGTGCACACCAAGATGTCAGGCTAAATTTTGGTTTGGTTTTTTGTAGAGAGGGTTTTGCCATGTTGCCCAGGCTGGTCTCAAACTCCTGGGTTCAAGCAATCCACCTCCCTTGGACTCACACAGAGCTGAGATTATGAGCATAAGCCAACATGCCCAGCCTATAAAAAATTATTTCCAAAAGCCAAAAGATTAATCAAACTGGAATATTTAGAAATATTTAACCCAAAAGAAGTTAGGAAAGAATATATAGAAGATCAAAAGACAGACGAAGGCCAGGCATGGTGGCTCATGCCTGTAATCTGAACACTTTGGGAGGCCAAGGTGGGTAGATTGCTTGAGCTCAGTAGTTCAAGACCAGCCTGTGCAACATGGCAAAACCCTATCTCTACAAAAATATAAAAATTAGCCAGGTGTGGTGCCATGCACTTGTAGTCCCAGCTACTCAGGGGGCTCAAGTGAGGATTGGTTGGGCCTGGGAGGCAGAGGTTGCAGTGAGCCAAGATTGCACCATTGCACTACAGACTGGGTGACAGAACAAGACCCTGTCTTAAAAAAAATAAACAAACAAATAGAAAATAAGTAGAAAAATGGCAGACCTAAATCCAACCTTAGCAATGATTAGTTACAATGTAAGTGGACAAATACTCTACTTAAGACAGAGACTGCCAGACCTGAGAGGAAGGCAAGACCCAACAATATGGCATCCACAGAGACACAATTTAAACACAAAGACACAAAGTATGAGAAAAAATATGCTATGCAGATGCTAAACATAAAAATATGCTATCCAGACACTAATCATAAAAAGCTTCAACAGAGATGTTAACACTAGATGAAAGAGGCTTCAGAACAAAATATATCACCAGAAATAAACAGGGTAATTTAATAAAAATAAAAGAATCAGAGAGGATGATGTTACAATTATAAATTGTGCCTCAAAGTGCACACAAACTACACACACACACACAGAACCTCAAAGTATGTGAATCAAAAACAACAGAACAAAAGCAGGAAATTGACAATCCAAAATTATAGCTGGTGAATTAATACTGCTCTCTCAGTAACTGACGGAACAACCAGATAAAAATATAGGAAAAATACGGATCTAAATGACAAAATCCTGACCCAAATGGTACTTGGCAGTGCCAAGATAGACTGTATGTCGATGGATTGAGAAAAGGTTCAAGCCTGAAATAGTATACAAAGGATGTTGTCTGAACACTTGAAATTAAATTAGAAACCAACAACAAATTGATATCCAGAAAAGCCTCAAATGTCTGAAAACCAAGTAATAAACTTTGAAATACCCTGTGAGTCAAAAAAGTATTCACAAGGGGAACTGGAATGTATTTGGAATAAACTTGTTATAAAAATCTCATTTCTGGTAGACTAAAGGTGACAAATTCTTTCCTGCTCCTCTCTCTGTGAGAACCAATTCCCCTTAAACCTTGACCAGACTACTGACTTATTTGGCCAACAGAAGGTGACAAAGCTGGTATTTGGGGACTTCAGAAGCCAGGCTGAGAAAACAGAACACTTACCCAGGAGAAAGCCAGTCACCAGGCAGGAAATCCCACTCCCCTGAGACCTCATGATGGAAACCACAAGGCCAGTCCATGACTAGCTACACGCATTGACATCCCCCACTGAGCCTCCAGCAACACCGACTCCCAACAACTAGTGAGCCTCCAGCAACATCCACTCCCAACCACTAGTGAGCCACCCTGCACACCACCCCACTGTGCTTTCACACAATCCAGCTTGGCTGCAACTGTGTGTGAGATGAGCTGGCCACCAAGACTCTCTAAGCCAAAAAACAAGTAATAATGAGTTGTTTTACTTCAGAATAGATAACTGGAACAGAATATGGCAGCTGGAAATGAGCTGCTGTGGTAATCAGAAGCTACAATATGTGACACGACTGTGAGGCTGACCTGTAACTGGGCCTCAAGGAGACCATTCATGCAACCTGGAAGGGCATCAAGACTCTTGGTCAGGGCCTGAAGGACGGTGAGAAAATGTCATTGGAAACTGGAGAAAAGGTCTGAGAGTTACTTGCTGAGGGACTGTGGGAAAACTATGGCCACAACATGGAAACTGAAAGGGCACTGCACCATCTCAGGGATCTGCCTAAGGAGACATCTGGGAAGAACATGGAAAGTGCTACCAGCCTCCCCTAACTGTCACTGAATAAATATGACAGGAGAGGGACATGATCTAAAGAAGAAGGTTCAGTTTTCAAACAGAATTTAGAGAAAATATAAAGAAATAATTTCTTGTCTCAAAAGGCCAAAGTAAAAAAAAAGAAAAGAAAAGAAAAGGAAAAAAAATGAAAAAGAAGCCATTGAATACCCTATTGACCATAAGAAAAAGGCAGGGAAAGCTGGTCAACGGCAACCCAGGCACTGAAGGAAAAAGAACATGGAGAATGACAAAAGCCCAGAGGGAGGAGTAAAAGGACACAAACACCATTCTCAGGGACCAGGACTGGGCGCCGTTTTCAGGGACCAGGACTGGGCACTAATCACAGAACTGTAACAGGCGCCCCATGGGAATGACCAACTGTTAGACGGGGCCTGCAGGGCAGCACTTCCCTCTTGCCTCCCACCAAAGCTTCTAAAGGGAAATGTCGACTGTTTTCACAGCAGTCCCCTCACTGCGGCTAAGTTTGTGGGCTCAGATGATAGCTCACAACAACCTGATTCAGTCCCCACTGTGGCTGTGTGTGGGGGGTCAGATGACAGGCCACCACAACCTGATTCAGTCCTCACTGCAGCTGAGTGTGTGTGGGTGCAGATGACAAGCCACCACAACCTGATTCAGGATTCAGTTGGGCTACTAGCCAGTGCCATAAGGAAAACCATTCTGGGGCTCTTGAGAGGGGCAAAGCATAATTTGCATGTGGGAGAAACGTTAATAGTTTGTGGCCAGAGGACAAGCTGTGGTTTATTAAAGACTGCTGCAGGTTCCTACTATGCTTCTCATCAAGAGGTGGAATCTAATCACCTTTCCCCCTTGAATCATGGCTGGTCTCAGTGATGAGTACAACTGGACAGTGTGGCAGGAGAGATGCTCTGGGACTTCTGAGGGATGATCATGAGAGACCTTACAGCTTCTGCCTGGGCCTCTTGGACACACACCCTGGGAGAAGCCAGACAAACCTGACTACCTGATGCTACCAGACTGGAAGGAAGTCCGTGCTGGCCACAAAGAGAGGGCTGGGTGCCTGCTCCATGTCCCCAGCCACTAGAGTCCTTCTGGGTGCCTGCTTCACATCTCCAGCCACTAGAGTCCTTCCAGATGAGACCAGGGACATCATGAAGCAACCAACCCACACCGCTCTGTCCAGTGTCTTGACCCAGAAAATTGTGACATGTAAAAAGAATAAATTCCTGGTTTAAGCCAGTAAGGTTATGGGTACATTGTTACATCTCAGATAATTAAAACCTTGAAAAACTCATGAGAGATCACAAGTAGAACCTTGATCTGAAACATGGCATGTGGCGATTTATATTGAGTATTAGGTTAAAAATGCAAGAATGGAGCATAGTTAATATTTTACATTAAAGCTAAAACCATAATTGCCTACTTAAAATTTTCAGTTAATTAGGTTGTCACTTTTTGTTCTTAACCAAGAAATCAACTAGTTTTAGTCCATAAACAGTTAGAACTGATGCACACATCCGTTTTTCCTTACTCATTTTAAACAGCTATCTGAAATAGGAAGTGTAATGTAATCTTTAAAGAATCTGAAAACATGACAGAAATGTTTAAACTATAAACATATATTGTATATGTTAGCATATTGTATACATTGTATATTAACATAAGCTAGAATCATTGACATAAATTTATATAAACAAAAGGTATAAAATATGATAATGTTCTTCTTGTTTTTTGTCTTTGCATATTTCTTTATTGGCCCTTGTCAAACGTGACCCACTAACTCCTGAATGCTTTGTCTCTCCCCATGGATTCCTAAGGATGTCACCACAGTGTTGGCCAGATGCACAGGTCACAGGGGACTGAACCTCATCACCCCACAAACATACCATTCAGGTTTTGCCAAGAATGACACTGTAAATGTAACAAAGCTTCTGTGCTTGTTAGTGAACACCAACTCAGCTCCTCTCCTGTATTCAGAAATCAGGATGAGATGAAAACAACAAGCAGGCCAGGCACGGTGGCTCAGGCCTGTAATCCCAGCACTTTGGGAGGCCGAGGTGGGCAGATCACCTGAGGTCGGGAGCTCGAGACCACCCTGATCAAAACAGAGAAACCCCATCTCTACTAAAAATACAAAATTAGCCAGGCGTGGTGGCAAATGCCTGTAATACCAGCTACTCAGGAGCTGAGGCAGGAGAATTGCTTGAACCCGGGAGGTGGAGGCTGCAGTGAGCCGGGATCACACCACTGCACTCTAGCCTGGGCAACAAGAGTGAAACTCTGTCTCAAAAGAAAAAAAATTAAAAATAAAAGAACAAGGAAACAAAAGTAACAAGGCTTGACACCAGATGAGCCTGAATCTAAGCAAGAAAAGCCCAGAAAAAATCCCATTTTGGGTCACTGGCTGCATGGTAGTAATACCATACACATAAGGGAAGAGAGGAGGATGTGGCTTTCACTTTGAATTTTTTTAGCTTAAGGTAACATTTGCGTAGCTACAAATAAGAATTCAACAGAGAGTTAAACCTATGATGGAAAGATTGAAGGGGTCCAAGCTGTAGAGAAACAGGACTGCAAACCACAAAGGGCAGAATCAGTCAAGGAGAGCTGCAGGGCGGGATGAACAGGGACCAATGGAACATTTGGACAAGCTGTTGAGAAGAAAGGAAAATTCAGAGAAAAAGAACTGTCAGTGAGGTCATAATAGGAACTGTTACAGTGAACTAAATATGGCCTGGGAAGGACTCTGTACTTCTAGATTTGAGTCCCTGTGGACAAACTGCAACCTAACTTAATAGGTAGAAAGACTGATAACCTAACTTTGGAGTATGCACCTGTAACTATAGCTGAGTCCTGGCCAATCCCAACAGCCAAACTTCTGCCACTCACACACTACTGAGTGTTCAGCTGTGTTCAAATAAGGCAAATGCTGAGCACTGTAACCAGTCCAGTTGTTTCTGGACCTCACTGCTGAGAACTGTAACGGACCCAGTTGCTTCTGGACCTCACTCCTCACTTCAGATTTCTGTACATCACGTTCCCTTTATTGTCTATAAATCTTCCACCATGTAGCTGTGCTGGAGTCTCACTGAATCTGCTGTGATTCTGGGGGCTGCCTGATTCGTGAATCATTCATTGCTCAATTAAGTTCCTTTAAATTTAATTCAGCTGAAGATTTTCTTTTAATAGATGGTGTCAGAAGTGGGATCTGTGGGAGCAGGACTGCTAGGGCCTCTGGAGCTATAGTGTGGTGAGCAGTGTTGCTAGGGCTTCTAATGACCCCCAGGAGTGCTGAGGTACAAGAAAGGCACCTGCAAGGACCGCTCTATGATGGCAGCAGTGGCCCATGTGGAGCAGTTGCTACGGAGACACTGGCTGCAGTGGGGAGGAGTGGCTGGGGCTGTGAACTCCTCAAAGTTAGTGGGAGCCAGGAACAGGTGAGAGACCCACCCCTTCTAAATTGGCAGGCAGGAGCCCCACCCTCCCAGGCACAGCTGCAGCCATCCACCCATGACAGCAAACCCGGGCATCTTTGCACTCTCAGAGGCCCAGCAAGCCCCCCTGCCCCCGTAGGCCCAGTCATACCTGCTCCCACCACCTGGCATGTCTCCGCTCCCAGAGCCCACTCCAACTTCGGATCCAAATTGAGGTTGAACCCAGGCACAGTCGCAACCCAGCCCAGTTTGTGCAAGCTCAGGGCAGTGCTGACATGCCAGCCCCCTGCCACCTCGGCCCCCTCCACACTTTGGGAACTGATGAGCACAGGAGGGACGTTGAGGTGGGGCTAAGAGTGGCTCAGCACTGGCTTGAAGGCACTCCTCAGCTCGAAAAGCCTGGGCACTGTGGGCATAGCTAACCACCATGCATCTCTCTCAGCTGCTGAGAGCTGAACAGACATTGGGATGACCTGCCTGCCGAAAGGAGCTACCCACTGCACGTCTCCTCTGAGCTGTACTGTTGCTCAATAAAGCACCTCTTCACCTTGCTCACCTTCTACTTGCCCACATACCTCATTCTTCCTGGACTCAGGACAAGAACTCGGGACCTGCCAACTAGCAGGGCTGAAAGAGGTGTAACATAAACAGGGCTGAAACGCACCCCTTGCTTGCCAAATTGCAGGCAAGAAGAAGAGAAGAGAGAAGGAGAGAAGAGCTGTGGCCCTTCAGGGAGCCCAGACCTAGGAGCTCCCCAAGCCAGGGCTGTGACACCTTATTTGGGGCTCTGCAGTTCCTGCATCTCGAAGCTTCCAGGCACCGCTGCATTCCCTGATACCCACAGTGGAAGCTGTTTGCAGTCAGCCTGGTCCAGCTGCAGCCTCACAGGGAGCTGGCACCTGTGGCGGTGCCTGGAGCTGCCCACCCCACTGCAGCTGGCATGCTTGGCTGTGTGCAGTGGCCAGATCCCATGCTCGCTTGCTCACACACCCTTCACTGCTCTGTACCCAGCTCACCCTTGGCAGGTGTGGGATCCAGACCACTAGCATGAGCCAAGTGGACAGAACGAACCCAGTGGGCCCGAGCAAAACACAGGTAAAGGCGCCACCAGCCAGAGGTTTCAGGCAGAAAAGTGACGCCTCAGGATTCTGTAACACTTGTGCCCTTTGACCTCTCAGAGCATCTGGGGATCGTGGTAAATTCTCTCTCGGATTTCAGAGCTCCATGAATTTGTGTTTTGAGCTGAGTTTCTCTGAGCAAATTTCTGTTCCAAACTGCTATCCAGCCATGACTGGCTGGATGTTTTAGAAGTTATGACAGAAACGGGACCGGGTCCAGGATCAGATTTGATCCAGTAATTAACTGGCTTGAATCCAGTTCCAGTTAGAGGCCTCCTACATCTGAATGGGTCAGAAGGAAAGTGGTAGTAAATGATAATATTGGAGGGTTGTAAAATTTGGCTTTTGGAAATTCACGGGGATTTTTGTGTTCTGCCCCTTTGTTTCATTTTCCTCACACGCTTAGGTAGGAAAAAAAATCATTGGCTAAGTCAATCAAGGGAACCTGAGAGTAAAGCCAATATATTAGGTAAAAATAGGATCCTTAATTTCTGGAAAACTAAGTTCTTTCTGGCTAATTCATTAGGCCTGGGAAGCAGCAAAGTCTTACAGAAATGGCAAAATCTTACTAAAGATAACTTATAGTGTAACATTCCAAATGAATAATGCCCTGAAGTGCATTTAAAAATGATGGCTCCCAAATTAGTCTCATCTAGGGATGCCTATTAACATGCAGAAGCTTCTAAAAAGATTTAGAGATGGCATGGCCTATCTGGGAGGAAGTTTGAGTCTTACCAGTTTGACACTGGGTGCTAAGCAAAGTGGCTCGTGGCTATGTTTTGTCACATATATTTTGCTCTGAGCAGAATGAAAAATGTTAATTTGGTTACTCCAAGCAACCCCTTGGGCAGCATCTTGCAAAGCTAAGTGGATTCTTCCTGTGGCTCCATGATTTCCATTGTGATGCAGCTTGGCCCCCAGAGCTATAATGTGGTGAGGAGGGTGACAGAGCAAGACGCTATCTTTAAAAAAAAATGGCCCGGGGCAGTGGCTCACAGCTGTAATCTCAACACTTGGGGAGGCCGAGGCAGGTGGATCACATGAGGTCAGGAGTTCAAGGCCAGCCTGACCAACAAGGAAAAACCCCGTCTCTACTAAAAACACAAAATTAGCTGGGCATGGTGGGGCATGCCTCTAATCCCAGCTACTCAGGAGGCTGGGGCCGGAGAATCACTTGAACCTGGGAGGCAGGGGGTTGCAGTAAACCGAGATCGCACCATTGCACTCCAGCTTGGGCAACAAGAGGGAAAATCCATCTCAAAAAAGAAAAGAATAATAGATTTGCCTGTAAGGTTTTATGAAAAAGTGGGTGACATTTGGCTTTCTCTCTTTAAAGAAGATTTTCAGAAAATATTAAAAAATAATGGGAGGAGGAGCCAAGATGGCCGAATAGGAACAGCTCCGGTCTACAGCTCCCAGCATGAGCGATGCAGAAGATGGGTGATTTCTGCATTTCCATTTGAGGTACTGGGTTCATCTCACTAGGGAGTGCCAGACAGTGGGTGCAGGACAGTGGGTGAAGTGCACTGTGCACTAGCCAAAGCAGGGCAAGGCATTGCCTCACTCGGGAAGTGCAAGGGGTCAGGAAGTTAGTTCCCTTTCCTGGTCAAGGAAAGGGGTGACAGATGGCACCTGGAAAATCGGGCCACTGCCACCCTAATACTGAGCTTTTCTGATGGGCTTAGGAAATGGCACACCACGAGATTATATCCCGCACCTGGCTCAGAAGGTCCTATGCCCATGGAGTCTCGATGATTGCTAACACAGCAGTCTGAGATCAAACTGCAAGGCAGCAGCGAGGCTGGGGGAGGGGCACCGGCCATTGCCCAGGCTCTCTTAGGTAAACAAAGCAGCCTGGAAGCTCGAACTGGGTGGAGCCCACCACAGCTCAAGGAGGCCTGCCTGCCTCTGCAGGCTCCACCTCTGGGGGCAGGACACAGACAAACAAAAAGACAGCAGTAACCTCTGCAGACTTAAATGTCCCTGTCTGACAGCTTTGAGGAGAGCAGTGGTTCTCCCAGCACACAGCTGGAGATCTGAGAATGGGCAGACTGCCTCCTCAAGTGGGTCCCTGACCCCTGACCCCCGAGCAGCCTAACTGGGAGGCGCCCCCTAGCAGGGGCAGACTGACACCTCACACGACCAGGTACTCCTCTGAGACAAAACTTCCAGAGGAACGATCAGACAGCAGCATTCACGGATCATGAAAATCCACGGTTTTGCAGACACCACTGCTGATACCCAGGCAAACAGGGTCGGGAATGGGCCTCTAGAAAACTCCAACAGACCTGAAACTGAGGGTACTGTCTGTTAGAAGGAAAACTAAAAAACAGAAAGGACATCCACACCAAGAACCCATGTGTACATCACCATCATCAAAGACCAAAAGTAGATAAAACCACAAAGATGGGGAAAAAACAGAACAGAAAAACTGGAAACTCTAAAAAGCAGAGCGCCTCTCCTCCTCCAAAGGAATGCAGTTCCTCACCAGCAACGGAACAAAGCTGGATGGAGAATGATTTTGACGAGCTGAGAGAAGGCTTCAGATGATCAAATTACTCTGAGCTATGGCAGGACATTCAAACCAAAGGCAAAGTTGAAAACTTTGAAAAAAATTTAGAAGAATGTATAACTAGAATAACCAATAGAGAGAATTTCTTAAAGGAGCTGATGGAGCTGAAAACGAAGGCTCGAGAACTACGTGAAGAATGCAGAAGCCTCAGGAGCCGATGCGATCAACTGGAAGAAAGGGTATCAGCGATGGAAGATGAAATGAATGAAATGAAATGAGAAGGGAAGTTTAGAGAAAAAAGAATAAAAAGAAATGAGCAAAGCCTCCAAGAAATATGGGACTATGTGAAAAGACCAAATCTACATCTGATTGGTGTACCTGAAAGTGATAGGGAGAATGGAACCAAGTTGGAAAACACTGCAGGACATTATCCAGGAGAACTTCCCCAATCTAGCAAGGCAGGCCAACATTCAGATTCAGAAAATACAGAGAACGCCACAAAGATACTCCTCGAGAAGAGCAACTCCAAGACACATAATTGTCAGATTCACCAAAGTTGAAATGAAGGAAAAAATGTTAAGGGCAGCCAGAGAGAAAGGTCGGGCTACCCTCAAAGGGAAGCCCATCAGACTAACAGCGGATCTCTCAGCAGAAACCCTACAAGCCAGAAGAGAGTGGGGGCCAATATTCAACATTCTTAAAGAAAAGAATTTTCAACCCAGAATTTCATATCCAGCCAAGCTAAGCTTCATAAGCAAAGGAGAAATAAAATACTTTACAGACAAGCAAATGCTGAGAGATTTTGTCACGACCAGGCCTGCCTTACAAGAGCTCCTGAAGGAAGCACTAAACATGGAAAGGATCAACTGGTACCAGCCGCTGCAAAATCATGCCAAAATGTAAACACCGTCGAGACTAGGAAGAAACTGCATTAACTAACGAGCAAAATAACCAGCTAACATCATAATGACAGGATCAAATTCACACATAACAATATTAACTTTAAATGTAAATGGACTAAATGCTCCAATTAAAAGACACAGACTGGCAAATTGGATAAAGAGTCAAGAACCATCAGTGTGCTGTATTCAGGAAACTCATCTCACGTGCAGAGACACACATAGGTTCAAAATAAAAGGATGGAGGAAGATCTACCAAGCAAATGGAAAACAAAAAAAGGCAGGGGTTGTAATCCTAGTCTCTGATAAAACAGACTTTAAACCAAGAAAGATCAAAAGAGACAAAGAAGGCCATTACATAATGGTAAAGGGATCAATTCAACAAGAAGAGCTAACTATCCTAAATATATATGCACCCAATACAGGAGCATGCAGATTCATAAAGCAAGTCCTGAGTGACCTACAAAGAGACTTAGACTCCCACACATTAATAATGGGAGACTTTAACACCCCACTGTCAACATTAGACAGATCAACAAGACAGGAAGTCAAAAAGCATACCCAGGAATTGAACTCAGCTCTACACCAAGCGGACCTAACAGACATCTCCAGAACTTTCCACCCCAAATCAACAGAATATACATGTTTTCAGCACCACACCACACCTATTCCAAAATTGACCACATACTTGGAAGTAAAGTTCTCCTCAGCAAATGTAAAAGAACAGAAATTATAAGAAACTATCTCTCAGATGACAGTGCAATCAAACTAGAACTCAAGATTAAGAATCTCACTCAAAACTGCTCAACTACATGGAAACTGAACAACCTGCTCCTGAATGACTACTGGGTACATAAGGAAATGAAGGCAGAAATAAAGATATTCTTTGAAACCAATGAGAACAAAGACACAACATACCAGAATCTCTGGGACGCATTCAAAGCACTGTGTAGAGGGAAATTTATAGCACTAAATGCCCACAAGGGAAAACAGGAAAGATCCAAAATTGACACCCTAACATCACAATTGAAAGAACTAGAAAAGCAAGAGCAAACACATTCAAAAGCTAGCAGAAGGCAAGAAATAACTAAAATCAGAGCAGAACTGAAGGAAATAGAGACACAAAATCCCTTCAAAAAATTAATGAATCCAGGAGCTGGTTTTTTGAAAGGATCAGCAAAATTGATAGACCTCTAGCAAGACTAATAAAGAAAAAAAGAGAGAAGAATCAAATAGACGCAATAAAAAATGATAATGCGGATATCACCACCAATCCCAGCAAAATACTAACTACCATCAGAGAATAATACAAACACCTCTACGCAAATAAACTAGAAAATCTAGAAGAAATGGATAAATTCCTCGACACATACACTCTCCGAAGACTAAACCAGGAAGTTGAATCTCTGAATAGACCAATAACAGGAGCCAAAATTGTGGCAATAATCAATAGCTTACCAACCAAAAAGAGTCCAGGACCAGATGGATTCACAGCCGAATTCTACCAGAGGTACAAGGAGGAACTGGTACCATTCCTTCTGAAACTATTCCAATCAACAGAAAAAGAGGGAATCCTCCCTAACTCATTTAATGAGGCCAGCATCATTCTGACACCAAAGCCAGGCAGAGACACAACCAAAAAAGAGAATTTTAGACCAATATCCTTGATGAACATTGATGCAAAAATCCTCAATAAAATACTGGCAAACCGAATCCATTAACACATCAAAAAGCTTATGCAACTTGATCAAGTGGGCTTCATCCCTGGGATGTAAGGCTGGTTCAATATACACAAATCAATAAATGTAATCCAGCATATAAACAGAGCCAAAAACAAAAACCACATGATTATCTCAATAGATTCAGAAAAGGCCTTTGACAAAATTCAACAATGCTTCATGCTAAAAACTCTCAATAAATTAGGTATTGATGGGACGCATTTCAAAATAATAAGAGCTATCTATGACAAACCCACAGCCAATATCATTCTGAATGGACAAAAACTGGAAGCATTCCCTTTGAAAACTGGCACAAGACAGGGATGGCCTCTCTCACCACTCCTATTCAACATAGTGTTGGAAGTTCTGGCCAGGGCAATTAGGCAGGAGAAGGAAATAAAGGGTATTCAATTAGGAAAAGAGGAAGTCAAATTGTCCCTGTTTGCAGACGACATGATTGTATATCTAGAAAACCTCATTGTCTCAGCCCAAAATCTCCTTAAGCTGATAAGCAACTTCAGCAAAGTCTCAGGATACAAAATCAATGTACAAAAATCACAAGCATTCTTATACACCAACAACAGACAAACAGAGAGCCAAATCATGAGTGAACTCCCATTCACAATTGCTTCAAAGAGAATAAAATACCTAGGAATCCAACTTACAAGGGATGTGAAGGACCTCTTCAAGGAGAACTACAAACCACTGCTCAAGGAAATAAAAAAGGATAAAAACAAATGGAAGAACATTCCATGCCCATGGGTAGGAAGAATCAATATCTTGAAAATGGCCATACTGCCCAAGGTAATTTACAGATTCAATGCCATCCCCATCAAGCTACCAATGACTTTCTTCACAGAATTGGAAAAAACTACTTTAAAGTTCATATGGAACCAAAAAAGAGCCCACATCGCCAAGTCAATCCTAAGCCAAAAGAACAAAGCTGGAGGCATCACACTACCTGATTTCAAATTATACTACAAGGCTACAGTAACCAAAACAGCATGGTACTGGTACCAAAACAGAGATATAGATCAATGGAACAGAACAGAGCCCTCAGAAATAATGCCACATATCTACAACTATCTGATCTTTGACAAACCTGAGAAAAACAAGAAATGGGGAAAGGATTCCCTATTTAATAAATGGTGCTGGGAAAACTGGCTAGCCATATGTAAAAAGCTGAAACTGGATCCCTTCCTTACACCTTATACAAAAATCAATTCAAGATGGATTAAAGACTTAAACGTTAGACCTAAAACCATAAAAACCCTAGAAGAAAACCTAGGCATTACCATTCAGGACATAGGCATGGGCAAGGACTTCATGTCTAAAACACCAAAAGCAATGGCAACAAATGCCAAAATTGACAAATGGGATCTTATTAAACTAAAGAACTTCTGCACAGCAAAAGAAACCACCATCAGAGTGAACAGGCAACCTACAAAACGGCAGAAAATTTTCGCAACCTACTCATCTGACAAAGGGCTAATATCCAGAATCTACAATGAACTCAAACAAATTTACAAGAAAAAAACAAACAATCCCATCAAAAAGTGGGCGAAGGACATGAACAGACACTTCTCAAAAGAAGACATTTATGCAGCCAAAAAACACATGAAAAAATGCTCATCATCACTGGCCATCAGAGAAATGCAAATGAAAACCACAATGAGATACCATCTCACACCAGTTAGAATGGCAATCATTAAAAAGTCAGAAAACAACAGGTGCTGGAGAGGACGTGGAGAAATAGGAACACTTTTACACTGTTGGTGGGACTGTAAACTAGTTCAATCATTGTGGAAGTCAGTGTGGCGATTCCTCAGGGATCTAGAACTGGAAATGCCATTTGACCCAGCCATCCCATTACTGGGTATATACCCAATGGACTATAAATCATGCTGCTATAAAGACACATGCACACGTAGGTTTATTGCGGCATTATTCACAATAGCAAAGACTTGGAACCAACCCAAATGTCCAACAATGATAGACTGGATTAAGAAAATGTGGCACATATACACCATGGAATACTATGCAGCCATAAAAAATGATGAGTTCATGTCCTTTGTAGGGACATGGATGAAATTGGAAATCATCATTCTCAGTAAACTATTGCAAGAACGTAAAGCCAAACACTGCATATTCTCACTCATAGGTGGGAATTGAACAATGAGATCACATGGACACAGGAAGGGGAATATCACACTCTGGGGACTGTTGTGGTGTGGGGGGAGGGGGGAGGGATAGCATTGGGAGATATACCTAATGCTAGATGACGAGTTAGTGGGTGCAGCACACCAGCATGGCAGATGTATACATATGTAACTAACCTGCACAATGTGCACATGTACCCTAAAACTAAAAGTATAATAAAAAATAAAAATAAAAAAATAATAAAAATTTTTTGTCATGATTTTTGGTAAATGAATGACTTACGGTGACGTGGAATTCTATTTCATAACATCAAGTGTTTAAACCTTTAATATATTTAATAGGCTTCCCAAAATCAAATTTCAACTTCAAAATTGTCTTTTCTGACCTCTAATTTTGGGATACTACAGAGACCCCTGAAGCACCCAAAAGAGAGGTAAACAGGACTATTTAACATGTTAAGTCACATGGGTAGCACTGTCAAAATAAAAAATAATGTGGAACCTTCCTCAGGTTATATTTAGTGTGTGTCATCAATCCATTCTAAAATTGTGTAGGATTTCTAAAATTCTTGTATTTTTTTTTTTTCTGAGATGGAGTCTTGCTCTGTCACCCAGGCTGGAGTACAGTGGCGCAATCTCGGCTCACTGCAACTTCCGCCTCCCGGGTTCATGCCATTCTCCTGCCTCAGCCTCCCGAGTAGCTGGGACTACAGGCACCCACCACCATGCCAGGCTAATTTTTGTATTTTTAGTAAAGATGGATTTCACCGTGTTAGCCAGGATGGTCACGATCTCCTGACCTCATGATCCTTCCACCTCGGCCTCCCAAAGTGCTGGGATTACAGGCATGAGCCACCACATCCACCCTAATTATGGTTATTAAGTTATTGTAGACCACAGAAATAACCAAATTTCCTTGTCAATTGTCTTTAACTATAACTAAAGTCATTTCACAGTTAATTGCTTAATAGTGATGCAGTTTCTAAAAACTTCACAAGCATGCAAAATTCTAGAGTATGGTGTCTCTTAGAAGATTCATGAAAGAATGAAAATGACCCTGAAAAACACTCGTGAACACAGATTTCTAATAACTTTAATATCATGGGTAAAAATTCCCCATAAGTTCCCCGATACCCCAAGAATTGGACTGGCTAAGAATTCTCAACAGTTAGGCTGGGTGCAGCGGCTCATGTCGGCAATCCCAGCACTTTAGGAGGCCAAGGCCGGTGGATCACTTGAGGTCAGGAGTTTGAGACCAGCCTGGCCAAAGGTGAAACCCCACCTCTACTAAAAATACAAAAATTAGCTGGGTGTGGTGGTATGTGCCTGTAATCCCAGCTACTCGGGAGGCTGTGGCAAGAGAATTGCTTGAGCCCAGGAGGCAGAGGTTGCAGTGAGCCAAGATTGTGCCACTGCACTCCAACCTAGGTAACAGAGTGAGACTCTGTCTCAAAAAAAAAAATATCAAAAATTTAATAAAAAGACCAACTGGTTTGTAAAACTGCTAACCCAAGTAAAACAAAAATTGTATACCAAGGAAATATTATGCCACATTTTCATGCTAAATCACCAATATTGAAATTGTTTAGATATATAATTTAAATAAACTCCATGGTCTAAATCAAATTACCTATAACTACTCATCAGTTACCAGTGCCATGCACCTAATTTGGAGAAACAGCTGGTATTCAAGAGGATGTAAGTCTGATGTTAATTAAGCACAGACCTATAAAGAACCAGGATGGCCACCTTATCCTTCTTAAGTCCTAAAAACTTTTGTTATTAAAAGTTCTGCATTCCATAACTCATCACAGAAAGAGAAAACGATCCAAATTAAATATATTGGTGTGGTGATTTCTAAACTGCTAAAATAGTTTATAACCAATGTTTGGTTTGTGAAACCTATATTCCTAGGAAAACAATCAAAACTTTAGGTACATTTGGTTATCTGATGGGCCATTTAAACATTTTATAAAGGGATTTCATTCAGTTGTCATTTTCAGTGCATGTTTTCTGATTGTATAAAAGCTCTTCCATGCGAGAGAGTTGATGTTAAAACAGTAGATTATTACCCTGAAGTGTATTTTCACCAGGTAAAGAAAGCCTTTTATGGTTCACTGAGGACAGTCAAACCCTTCAAAATCTAGAATCTGATGACTGGATCTTCTGAGAACATCAGAGAAGGACTGCCCTCGCCATCCACATGACAACAAAACTTTAAAACCTTAAACTTTGGGTTCATAGTCTCACAACTCAGAAGGGTCCCTCCACACTCAGAACCATATGCCTATTGGAACCCTTAAGGTAAAGCTAACACGGACAGTTCCCCCCAGAAGAAGATGGCATCCTTAATGTGAACAGCTTTTCCCAAGATCACAGATCAAGACTTCTCTACTATCATGAGACTCTTATCTTAAGTATCTGTGCAGCTGCTAACACTTACAGCATGTGGAGAAAACATGGGGTATTATAAAGATTTGGTTGTAGGGAATTAACAAAAAAAAACCACTTAGTTAAGCAAGTAAACCCTTTATCTAATTCATTCTTTAATCTATTTGATTTTTGGTGGTTTGATTTATGGGGACCCTGAGTAAGGAGCATATACCACATCTTGGTGTTATCCCAATAGTCATAAGAGTCTCCCTGGTGTACTGTACTTACTCAAATGTTTCAAGAGTTTGCATGCAGCCATCTCTAAAATGTCAAATGGTATCTCTTCAACTGGAATGACAAGAGATTAAAAAAAATGTGCAACCATAAGGCCACCATAACCTATGAGTGACATGCTAAACTGGAAACCCAAAACAATGGGAGTGACATGCTAAACCAGAAACCCAAAACAATGGGAGTGACTTGCTAAAACTGGAACCCAAAACAATGGGAGTGACGTGCTAAAACCGGAAACGAAAACAATGGGAGTGATGTGCTTAAACTGGAACCCAAAACAATGGGAGTGACCTGCAAAACCAGAAACCCAAACAATGGGAGTGAGGTGCTAAAACCAGAACCCTAAACAACGGGAGTGATGTGCTTAAACCAGAACCAAAAACAATGGGAGTGACCTGCTAAACCAGAAATCCAAAACAATGGGAGTGATGTGCTAAAACCGGAACCCAAAACAATGGGAGTGATGTGCTTAAACCGGAACCCAAAACAATGGTAGTGACCCGCTAAAGCAGAAACCCAAAACAATGGGAGTGTCCTGCTAAACCAGAAACCCAAAACAATGGGAGTGACGTGTAAAACCAGAAACCCAAAACAATGGGAGCGTCCTGCTAAACCAGAAACCCAAAACAATGAGAGTGACATGATAAACCAGAAACCCAAAACAATGGGAGTGACGTGCTAAAACCTGGAAACCCAAAACAATGGGAGTGAGGTGCTAAAACCAGATACACAAAACAATGGGAGTGACATGCTAAAACCAGATACCCAAAACAATGGGAGTGATGTGCTAAAACCTGAACCCAAAACAATGGGAATGACGTGCTAAACCGGAACCCAAAACAATGGGAGTGACGTGCTAAAACCGGAACCCAAAACAATGGGAGTGACATGCTAAAACCAGAAACCCAAAACAATGGGAGGGTCCTGCTAAACCAGAAACCCAAAACAATGGGAGTGAAGTGCTAAAACCAGAAACCCAAAACAATGGGAGTGTCCTGCTACACCAGAAACCCAAAACGATGGGAGTGACGTGATAAAACCAGACACCCAAAACAATGGGAGTGACGTGCTAAACCAGAAACCCAAAACAATGGGAGTGACGTGCTAAAACCTGGAAACCCAAAACAATGGGAGTGAGGTGCTAAAACCAGAACCCAAAACAATGTGAGTGACGTGCTAAACCAGAACCCAAAACAATGGGAGTGACGTGCTAAAACAGGAACCCAAAACAATGAGAGTGACGTGCTAAACCAGAAACCCAAAACAATGGGAATGACGTGCTAAAACCGGAACCCAAAACAATGGGAGTGATGTGCTAAACCAGAAACCCAAAACAATGGGAATGACATGCTAAAACTGGAACCCAAAACAATGGTAACTAAGAGTGATGCTAAGGCCCTACATTTTGGTCACACTCTCAACTAAGTGAGAACTTGACTGAAAAGGAGGATTTTTTTTTTCTAAGACAGAGTTTTGGTCTGTCCCCCAGAGTGGAGTGCAGTGGCATGATCTTGGCTCACTGCAAGCTCTGCCTCCCGGGTTCAGGCCATTCTCCTGCCTCAGCCTCCTGAGTAGCTGGGAATACAGGCACCCGCCACCACACTTGGCTAATTTTTTGTATTTTTAGTAGAGATGGGGTTTCACCATATTAGCAAGGATGGTCTCAATCTCCTGACCTCGTGATCTGCCCACCTCAGGCTCCCAAAGTGCTGGGATTACAGGTGTGAGCCACCACACCCAGCAAAAAGGAGGAATTTTTAAAGCAAAATTATGGGAGGCCATTGTTTTGAACTAAGCTCATGCAATAGGTCCCAACAGACCAAACCAAACCAAACCAAAATGGAGTCACTCATGCTAAATGTAACATAATCAAACTAAGACTTTAGGGAAACACATAAATCCTAGAACAAACCAGGTTTTGTTTTTCTCCTGTAAACAGGATGTTCCAGCATAAGAAGATACCTTCTACTCAAGTCCTTGTTCCACCTTTTCAAATCTCACTGGTCTATTTCCCAGTGGGTTTCTAAACCAAGTAAGTACATTTGCAATGGTAATAGTGACACCAGTGACTGAAGTTTCGGCCAATCTCTCAAAATTGAGAAAATAACCAAAGGGAAGGCATTGTTAAAGTGAACTAAGTATGGCCTGAGAAGGACTCCATAATTCTATATATGAGTCCTTGTGGGTGAACTGCAACCTACCTTAATAGGTATACAAGAATGAAAAACTAACTTAAGAGTATGCACCTGGAACAACAGCTACATCTTGGCCAATCCCAATGGCCAAACTTCAACCACTCAGGCACTGCCAAATGTTCAAAATGTGTTCAAACAAGGCAAACGCTGAGTTGTTTCTGTACCTCACTTCCGATTTCGGTATGCCACTTCCCTTTTGTCTATAAATCTTCTTCCACCACATGACTGCACTGGAGTCTCTGTGAATCTGCTGTGATTCTGGGGACTGTCCGATTCATGAATCGTTTATTGCTAAATTAAACTCCTTTAAAGTTTTTCTTTTAACAGAACTAACACAGAAGAATTTCCAGATCATGAACAGACGTTTTGTAATACCCAACGTTGTATTAACATGAATAGACTCTTCCTTAGACAGCTAACCTTGTTTTTAATATGAATAGACTCTCCCTTAGCTGAGAAAACCAGACAAACTCCATTTGGCTCCTTCATTAACAAGACATCAAGGACTCCTTACCCACCCCCTTTCCTCAAGGACTTTAACTTGTGCAAGCTGATTTTCAACATATCAAAGCGTGCAAATAACTGATAAAGTGCTGAGACAAGAGATGTCCCCAGTTCCCAGCAATTTACTCAGAGATAGTATCATAAAGCCCCCACATTTGTCCGGCAGATAATGCCCAGAGCCCCCTCACCTATCACTTTGTGGTGAATTTAAAGACCCTACACCAGGAACAGTTTGTTTTCCTGTAACCATCTGTTTTTCTAAGTTTTTTGTCTGTTTTTTTCTTCTGTAAAGTTGTTGCAGCTAGAATCCCCCCTCCCCTCTCTAAACCAAAGTATAAAAGAAAATCTAGTCCCTTCTTCAGGGCCGAGAGAATTTCGTGCGTTAGCCATGTCTCAGTCGCTGGCTAGTAAAGGACTCCTGAATTCGTCTCAATGCGTGGCATTTCTCTCTAACTCACTCGGGTACGACAGTTTCAACTATGGTAGAAGACTCAAGTAAGGCAAATACAGTCCCCCTAAATTTGACTATTATTCAGGTTAATGGTGAGTTTAGAAGAAATAAGGCTACACAGAGTGGGCTAAAGTGCAAATAAACACTGGAAATATTTCCCAGAAAATATGACTTTGAACAGGCTGCTGCACACCCTGCATGTAGAGATAAACTAAGAAAAACGTGTGGAGAGTTATTTAAGGACCTATGGTTAACTCAGTCCTCAAGATGTTCCAGGTTTCATCCATGAATCAAGGAGGACCTCCCAAAGGCTGTTTGGGACCACACTCTTTGAGCAAGGAGCATACATTACGATGGAAGCTGTGCTTTAGCAGCAGATGACCATTTCCGCTGCACAACACGCCGTGCTTTAGCGGAAGATGACCGTTTCCACTGCACAACACTACAAGTGTTTACTGCCAGGCCGGTGTGAAATATGTTCCAGCACATAATCTATGTCACCAATGAAGGTGGTGGTTCAGACTTGGTGCACGCAAGCTTTCCTGTCCCACAAGAACACAGCATGCTCTCTTCTCGGGTTCCATTCCAATCACATAACAAACATGACTGCCTTTTTTGTCTCGGCATCAGAAAGATCAGAGGAAAATTTGCACTCAACTTAGACAACTCTAAGCTCTTATAACCTGCCTATATCTACAGGTCAGCTTTATCTTATTTATGTATATTTCCTTCAACCTGAGTTTTACTTATTTCTACTTTTCCTTTTTAATTCACAGACACCCATAAACTCAGAAAATACAGTGTAAAACAAAGTGAAGAACAAATAAACAACTCACCAGAGATTTATTCATTTCTTGTTGCTCTTGGAAACACCCAGAGGACACTGGAAACATAGCTGGGATAGAAGGCAAATGACGTGGATTAAGGAGAGAACTGGTGTGGTGTGGTCCCAGATTCTTCTGCCCAACACTCTAGACACATTACCTGGGAAAGCCCTCCTCCCTCCTGAAAAAGAAAAACTTCCCCAGGGGAGAAGAGTCCTTCACACCTCATTAGGGGCAGCAAAGACTCAAGTTAAGATAAGATACATCTACAAGTACATTAATTGGTAGACATTAGATGCACAATTTATTTTTGAATAAAAATATATATTACCTACTAATTTAGTAACAATATTATCTAAAGATATAATCTAATAATTTAATACAAAGAAACATTATAAGTTCACTAAAATAAATGTTATAGAAATATACTGGGCTGTATTAACTATTTTCCTATTAATATGTAGATTCCACAAATAACTTCATATGAGTGTTCCTATGACAGTACATCTTGCTTTTCTATACCTGAACATCATGGAAAGTGCATCTTGCAAACCAGCAATTTTGGCCTACAATTACGTTTTTTAAAATGTACATAATATGTATTTCCTGCAGTACACCATTCTACTCATGTTTCCCAATAACACCTTTCCTTCTATCCAAGCCCTCATATTATGCTCTGACAATAAATTGGGCTTTTCCATCTGACTTGTCCAGTGAATGGAAAATGGAAAATGTGATGCAAATATCCATTGGTTCTTTCCTTTTTGGGGGAAATTGTGAAGAAGTCTGGAGCTACCCTGTTGGAGACACAGGGCCTAGCCAAGAGTCACCACAAACCACCAGATTGTGAAGTAAACTATCTTAAACCAACCAGGCTCAGTCAAGGCACCAGGTGACTGAGGCCTTTTTGTGATCCAGGCAACACAAATATATTAACTACCCAGCTGAACCCACCACACCAAAGTGCAGATCCACAGAACTTCGAACAAATAAAATGGTGGTTGTTTTTTATAAGCCAGTAAGGTTTAATTAGTTCCTTAAACAGCAAGTATTAACTGTTACACCTAAGTGAACAGAATTCACTTCTGTGTTTTTAACAAAATTACGTAGGGGGAGAAAATGTTAAATTACAAATCAAATACAATCAATAGAACTTCGCAATCTAATGTTAAATTTGGGGATGGACTAGGTTTAATGTATCTCAGACGCTGGAAAAAACGAGCTAAGGTTGAAGGAATGGGACTGTGTTTGGAGAGTATTTTAATCCTCTCAAGTATGACAGGTCACTGCTGTACCCCAGACCACACTTTCAGGCCCCTTCAAATAAGGAATATTTCCTAAGTCCTTGCCTGTTCTTCTTAGCTGAATTCACCTCAACCTTCTGAAAGTTCGTCCAAACCTTCTACTATCACCTAGTCTTTGCAAATCTTGTGCATTCTAGGGAGTAGAATTAATATTTCCTGAGCAAGGAAAACTGGGATCTTCACCTGTGACCTTTTTTCCTCCTCTGAAGCACCAGTGAGAGGTTAGACCAGATGGCTGTTCTTTCAAGTGTGCTTCTTATTCATAGGGAACCCTCCCTTTCAAACTTTGTAACACACAGTTAAGACTGAAGTATCCTTAAGGCTGACGACCATCATCCATTAAGCCATCTCCCTCGCGGAATCAGTGAGTTCTTCCCTGGAAACTAGGTCTCGTATAAACTTCTGTAAATGCGACCCAGGAGGACTAGGCAGGTCACACAGTGAAGGAGGGAACCAGAAACTTCACTTGCTAAAGAGACACCAGGAAACCCAACTAATACAAACGCCAAGTTTAAGACTAGAGGCGCACGCGTTTCACACTACTCCTCTGGGAATGGGGAACGTCTCCCGAGAACTGTGTGTTACCACTGGGACAGATGGGCAAACTGAGCGTCATGCAGGTTGGTAACCGGGTCCCTCAGCGGCAGGACAGGAGCGCGGCCTGCAGACTCCGGGCCCAGGGCCACCGGCCTCTCCTACCTGCTCCTGCGCCTCTAGAACCCGTTTCACTGCCGGGACCCCACGCCTGTCCTCCCAGCCCCCGCCAGGGTCCACTGCCCGCACCTGCACTTCAGGCCCTGCCCGCCCGCAATGTGCCCACGCGTCTGCTCCCACAACTAGGGAACACTGGTCCGGCCCCCCGGGATCCCCTGAGGCCCACGGGTTCCTCTTCGCCCTTGCACCGACCCGCAGGGACATAGAACCAAGCCCCAAGCCGGCCCGGCTACAGGACGGCCTCTGGGTGCCGCACTTCCGGAGGAAAATGGCGGAGTGGGCCGGGCGGCGCAAGCGCAGAGAGAAAAGCTGGTTCCCAAGGTCCTTGATGGTAACATCATTGGAAGGTGACACTACAATTCCCATGAGGCTTTGCGGTACCCCGTTAGGAACCCAAGCCGGACATTCTGTTTTGCCCAGCAGTTGAGTCCAGTTACCCAGAGACCCGGAGTTAATGTATCAGGACTGGTCCCTACCCAGGTGACACAGATGTGGCATTCTGGTTCTTTATTAAATCCTGGTTTCACAGCCTGGGACATTGTGAAAATAATGGAGAAATTTCAATAGAGGCCAATTGGTCTATGCTATGAATAAGTTTTTTTTTTTTTTTTTTTTTTTTTTTTTTTTTTTTTTTTGAGAAGGAGTCTCACTCTGTCGCCCAGGCTGGAGTGCAATGGTGCGATCTCGGCTCACTGCAACCTCCGCTTCCCGGGTTCAAGCGATTCTCCTGCCTCAGCCTCCTAAGTACCTGGGATTACAGGCGCGTGCCACCACACTCGCCTAATTTTTGTATTTTTAGTAGAGACGGGTTTTCACCATGTTAGTCAGGCTGGTCTCCAACTCCTGACCTCGTTATCCGCCCTCCTCGGCCTCCCAAGGTGCTGGGATTACAAGCGTGAGCCACTGCGCCCAGCCCTCAAGTCTATTTTTTATAGATGCATTCGAAAGCATGAAAAAAATAATGTCTCTATTTTACTTTAAAAATTTTAAAACACAACTAATGAATATGGTAATTCTCTTCCAATCCGTTATCTTTTCTCTCACTAAACTAATTTGTGAGCCTTCAATTTACACTGTTAGAAAATATGCTCTAGTGCACATACTAGGATAAAATAACAGGGTCATAAGACAGGTGCACTCCATAATCTTTGTGACAACTTACACTTCCAGTGTCTGATAAATATTTGCCCGTAGACTCCCAGGTTTCATCCATCCATCCATCAATCAAATCTACCTATCTTTATTTATTTATTGTGAGAAAGACCTGAAATTTGCCTTTCCTTCCCTGATGTCTGCCACAAACTAGGCAAGGAGTTCTGCCTAGGGGTTTCTCAGAGCTCCGGCTACCACCGAGGTTCCTAACAGGGAAACGCAGGCTTGAATGCTCAGGGTTGATGTGGGAGTGCGTGTGAAACGGGGATGGGGTGAAAGGGCAGTGACGTTTGTAGGTGGGCAGATGGGGGTGTGATGGGCTTTCAGGTAAGAGGCACGCAGGAACCTGGGAGAGGCAGCGAAAGCACCTCACGCCTCAGATCACCAGAAGACGCTCCCACCAGTGCCATGACAGTTTGCCAATGCCATGTCATCACGAGAAGTCCCCACCCCTTGCCATGGAAACAGATGGAAGTTACTGCCCATTTCTAGCTATTTCTGAATAACCCGCCCCTTAATTAGCATGCCATTAAAAGTGAATTATAAAAATGACTACAAGCCACCCCTAGGCTGCTGCTCTGGGAGCACAACCCACGGAGGGCTCCCTGCCCTGCCGGAGTGGACGCAGTGCTGTAACACCGCCAATGCCTCCGTAGAGCTGCTTTCTTCCACCACAGGCTTGCTTTTGGATTTCTTCCTAAACGACGCCAAGAACCTGCCCTTCCTCAGTGTGACTCTTGCCTAAAACCTATCCCTGGTATTCTCTTTTCCTAAGCATGCCCTGACTTGTTCTTTCATCTCCTCTGATCTTGCAATTGGTCCTCAGTGACTCTATTCTGCAGATCCAGAAAACTCAACCTTAATCTTCCCAGAGCCCTGTTGTCTCCAATATTGGAATCTCTAGCCTTGTTTTCTCAGACGCCTAGATTACAGGCCTCTCTCTTGAACACCTATTGGTATGGTATCTGGGGATCCTTTAAATACATGATGATTGGCAGGGGTTAAATAGCGGAAATCAGTGCCTGACAATTCGCCTTCCAGGATATGGACTGTCATTCCCTCTCTTGGTGGGCCTCAGTCTCTTATCCATAAAAGTAGAGATTGTAATACTCATTTGAATTGCAGATACCTCAACCCGAACCCACCTAATATAATGTAAAAGCCAAGAATGCAACCCCTTTCCTCACCCCGTGAAGGTAAAGCCCTCAGAGCCAAGGAGAGAAGGCTCAGGGATGGTATCTGGGTGTTTCCAACGCTAACCATGTATTGTAGTTTTTAGTGTTCAAGTTTAAGCTTCCCCAGCTTTAATTCTATTGTAACAAGATTTATTTTTTTAATTCCATTTTTGGATTCTTGATTTATTGGTAAAGAAATACAGTTATTTTTGTATACCAATCTTATATAGTGTTACATTCTTAAGTTTGTTCATGAGTCCTAATACTTTTTAGTAAATTTCTTACGATTTTCTAAATGCAAGATCATGTCATCTGTACATAAAGATAACTGTACTTCTTCCTTTCCAATCTAGATGTTGTTTATTTATTTACATTGCCAACTTGTCCCAGCTACCACTGTTATCAAGTAAAAGGGTCTCACTGCCCAAAGCACAAGAAGCCGGTACCATGACACTGAGTTTTCGAGAAAAGAAAAAGTTTAAAGTCAAACCAAAACCTAGGGTACAGGCCGGGCGCACTCGGTGAAACCCCGTCTCTACTAAAAATACAAAAAACAAAAATTAGCCGGGCGTGAAGGCAGGCGCCTGTAGTCCCAGCTACTCGGGAGGCTGAGGCGGGAGAATGGTGTGAACCTGGGAGGCGGAGCTTGCAGTCAGCCGAGATCGCGTCACTGCACTCCAGCCTGGGCAACAGAACGAGACTCCATCTCAAAAAAAAAAAAAAAACAAAAAAAAAAAAAAAAAAAAAAAAAAAACCTATGGGATACAGTAAAAACAGTACTACAGTACTAAGAGGTAAGTTTATAGATAAAAGCACCTACATCAAAAAAAGTAGAAAAGCTTCAAATAAACAACCTAATAATGCATCTTAAATAATTAGAAAAGCAAGAGCAAGCCAAAACCAAAATTAGTAGAAGGAAACATAGCAAAGATCGGAGCAGAAATAAATGAAATTGAAATTTAAAAATATAAAATATCAATGAAATGAAAAGTTAATATTTTTAAAAGACCAACAAAATCAACAAACACTTAACCAGACTAAGAAAAAAGAGAGAAGATTCAAATACATAAAACCAGAGATTAAAAAGGAGACACTATAACTGATACTGTGGAAATTCAAAGAATCATTAGAAACTATTATGACCAACTATATTCCAATAAATTGAAAAACCTGGAAGAAATGGCTGGGCACCGTGGCTCATGCCTGTAATCCCAACACTTTGGGAAGCCAAGGCAGGTGATCACCTGAGGTCAGTAGTTCAAGACCAGCCTGGTCAACATGGTGAAACCCCATCTCTACTAAAAATACAAAAATTAGCCAGGCATGGTGGCATGCACCTGTACTTCCAGCTACTCTAGAGGCTGAGGCAGGAAAATCACTTGAACCTGGGAGGCAGAGGTTGCAGTGAGCTGAGATTGTACCACGCTGCAGTCTGGGTGAGAGAGCAAGATTCCATCTCAAAAAAAAAAAAAACCTAGAAGAAATGGATAAATGAAATTGAAGCCTTAATAAAACATGTCCTAGCAAAGAAAAGCCTGGATTCAATGGCTTCACTGGCTTCACTGATTAATTTTACCAAACATTGAAGGCAGAATTACTATCAATCCTACTCAAACTATTCAAAAAAAACAGAGAAGGCTGTAGTATTTCCAAACTCATCCTATGAAAAAGACCATTCATCATGTCTAAGTGGGATTTATCCCAAGGATGCCAACATGGTTCAATGTATGCAAATCAATCAATGTGACACATCATATCAACAGAATGAAGGACAAAAACCATATGATAATTTCAATTGATGCTGAAAAGCATTTAATAAAATTCAACATCCCTGTGATAAAAAGAAACCCTCAAAAAAAACTAGATATAGAAGGAACATACCACAACACAATGAAAACCATATGCAACAGACCCACAGCCAGTATCATCCTGGACAGGGAAAAGCTGAAAGCCTTTCTTCTAAGATCTGGAACAAGACAAGAATGTCCACTTCCAACACTGTTACTCAACATAGTACTGGAAGTCCTAGCTAGAGCAATTCAGACAAGAGAAAAACAATAAAAGGGATCCAAATTGGAAAGAAGTAAAATTATTACTGTTTCTTGTTTGCAGATGATTAGCTCTTATATTTGGAAAAACCTAAGGACTCCACCAAAAAACTATTAGAACTGATCAACAAATTCAGAGTCACAGCATACAAAATCAAACTACAAAAGTCAGTAGCATTTCTAAATGACAAAAATGAACAATCTAAAGAAGAAAATCAAGAATGTAATCCCATTTACAATAGCTACAAATAAAATAAAATAACTGGGAATAAACATAACAGAAGAAGTGAAAGATCTCTACAATGAAAACTATAAAACATAGATGCAAAAAAATTAAAGAGGACACCAAAAAAAAAATGGAAAGATAGTCCATGTTCATTTATTGGAAGAGTAAATATTGTTAAAATACCCATACTTCACAAAGCAATCTACAGATTCAATGCAATCCCTATTGAAATACTAATAACTTTCTTCACAGAAATAGAAAAAAAATCCTAAAATTTACATGAAACCATAAAAGACCCAGAATACCAAAAGCCATCCTGAGCAAAAAGAACAAAACTGGAAGAATCACATCACCTGACTTTAAATTATAGTACAGAGCAATTATAAACAAAACACCATGGTACTGGCATAAAACAGACACATAGACCAATGGAACAGAATAGAGAACCCAGAAATAAATCCATACATTTACAATTAACTCATTTTCAATGAAGGTGCCAAGAATATACATGGGGGAGAGGACAGTCTCTTCAACAAATTGTGCTGGGAAAACTAGATATTCATTGGCAGATTTTTTTTTTTTTTTGAGATGGAGTCTAGCTCTGTTGCTCAGGCTGGAGTGCAGTGGCGCGATCTGGGCTCACTGCAAGCTCCACCTCCCGGGTTCACACCATTCTCCTCCTCAGCCTCCCAAGTAGCTGGGAGTACAGGTGCCCACCACCACGCCTGGCTAATTTTTTTTTTGTACTTTTAGTAGTGACGGAGTTTCACCGTGTTAGCCAGGATGGTCTCGATCTCCTGCCCCCATGATCCGCCCACCTTGGCCTCCCAAAGTCATTGGCAGAATAGTTAAACTAGAACCCTCTCTTGCACTATATACAAAAATCAAATCCAAATGGGTTAAAGACTTAAATCAAAGACACGAAACTACTGAAAGAAAACATTAGGGAAACTCTCCAGGAAATTGGTCTTGGCACAGATTTCTTGAGTAATACTCCAAAAGCTCAGGCAACCAAAGCAAAAATGAACAAGTGGTATCACATCAAGTTCAAAAGTTTCTGCACAGTAAAGAAAACAATGGACAAAGTGAAAAGACAATCCACAGAATGGAAGAAAATATTTGCAAACTATATAACTGACAAGGGATTAATAACCAGAATATATAAGGAGCTCAAACAACTCTACAAGAAAAAAACTAACAATCCAATTATTTAAATAGGCAAAAGATCTGAACAGACAGTTCACAAAAGAAGGCACACAGGTCAGGCGCAGTGGCTGACACATGTAATTCCAGAACTTTGGGGAGCCAAGACGGGTGGGCCACTTGAGCCCAGGAGTTCAAGACCAACCTGAACAACATAGCAAATAATTTTAAAAACTACCTGGGCATGGTGATGCATGACTGTGGTCCCAGCTACTCAGGAGGCTGAGGTGGGAGGATTGCTTGAACCCTGGCAGTCAACACTACATTAAGCCATGATCATACCACTGCACTCCAGCCTGGGTGACAGAGTGAGACCCTGTCTCAAAAAATGAGCAAAAACAAAAAAGAACATATATAAATGTCAAATAGGTATATGAAAAGATGCTCAATATCATTTATCATGACAGAAATTGAAATCAAAACAACAAAAATATATCATCTTACCCCATTAAAATGGCTTTTATGCAAAAGACAGGCAATAACAAATGCTTTCAAGAATTTGGGGAAAAGGGAACACTCTTACTCTGTTGGTGGGAATGTAAATTAATATATTCACTATGGAGAACAATATGGAGGTCCCTCAAAAAATTAAAAATAGAACTATCATATGATCCAGCAATCCCACTGCTGGGTATATACCCAAGAGAGGGAAAATTAGTATATCAAAGAGATATCTGCATTCCCATATTTATTTCAGCACTATTCATAATAGCCAAGATTTGGAAGCAACCTAAGTGTGCATCAACAGATGAAGGGATAAAGAAAATGTAGTACATATACACAATGGAGTACTCTTCGGCCATGAAAAAGAATAAGATTCTGTCATTTGCAACAACATGGATGGAACTAGAGGACAATTATGTTAAGTACAATGAGCCAGGCACAGAAAGACAGACTTCGCATGTTCTCACTCATTTGTGGGAGCTAAAAATTAAAACAATTGAACTCATCAAGATAGAGAGTAGACTGAGAGTTTCCAGAGGCTGGGAAGAGTAGCGGTGTTATGGGATCTTTGGGGTGTTACTTTTCTGGACAGAAACCTCTATGACTGGTGGCACCTTTGCCTGAGTTTTGCTGGGCCCCGCACACTCAGCCTGGCAGGCTGTGCTCTGCTCATGCTACCACGTTGGATCCCATGCCTGCCAAGGGAGACTGCATGGAGTGGCAAGGGGTGTGTGAGTGAGCATGGGGTCTGGTCACTGTGCAGTCAGATTTGCTGGCTGCTGAAGTGGAGCAGGTAGCTCCAGGTGCCAACACGGGCGCCAGCTCTCCACAAGGCTGTGGCTGGACCACGGGCACCTCAAGAAGCTTCCACAGCTGGCACACTGGGAACACAGTGGCACCCAGAAGCTTGGAGATATCAGGAACCAAAGGCCCCAAAGAAGGAATCACAGCTCTGGCTCAGGGAGCTCCCAGGTCTGGGCTCCCCAAAGGGCCATAGCTCTTCTTTCCTTCTCTTTGCCCACAATGTGGCGAGCAAGGGGCATGTCTCAGCCCTGTTTGTGTTACAGCTCTTTCAGCCTCTTCCCTAGGATTTGTCATAATTAATTCCCATATCGTCTTATTTTTTTACACGTGTTTCAACTTCAGAAGATGTATGGATCTAAACACAACATGAAGTGTTAGCTAGCTGCCATATGAGTTTCTCCCTGTTTCACCACTATGTAGCCTAAAGTTATTCCGTCATCCATGACTATCCTGAATAAAGAGTCTGAAGATCTTTATTTGGTAGCTATGGCTTCAGCTAGTTCATTTGCTAAGTTACCTAGAGTGGTTGACAGATTTCTAATTATACGTTCATGAGAGGTTACTCCCCACCATTGCAAGAGATTTCTGCCAAACATAGGCCAAAATTCATCTCCTTGGTTTGCAGGTACGGTTTGTCTAATCCTGGAAAATAATTTCGATGAACTACTTCAGCGTTCAGAAACATTGGAGTTATAAATAGGAAGAGGAAGAGCCACATAACCTAATAGACAATTACCTCTCATATGCCAGCGGTCAACACATTCATAAGCCCATGTGTGCTTGATCCAGGGACCACACAGGGTCCCTGACGGATTCTGAAATTTAAGGCTTTGGTTTACTGGTAACAGAGACAGGTTAAAGTACATGTCTTCAGTCTTGAGTAGAGTGCAATCAGTCTGATTTCTTTTTTTTTTTAATGAGACAAACATCAGGTAAAGACCTTGACAAGAAGGAAGATAAATCCCGAGATTCTATAATCATAATAATCGAATTGTAATTGCTAGTTTAAGTAGTCCTATAAAAATACATCTCATTACTGACAGGATAAAACAAGTTTTTTAAAAATATATTTTATCTGGGTTCACTAGGGAACACTTGGAGCCAGGAAATAATTCAGGATTCAGCCCAAATTATAGGCAAATAATAAAAACTCGGAAAAGAATGATCAGGGCTGGAATCTAATAGCATATGTCACAGTTTTCATTTGAAACATGAATTTTCTCTCTCTAGTCCATCATTTTATCAAAGACAAACCATAGTAGGACAAATTTCTGTGCAAAATAAGTTTTAGTCTTATCATACCTGGTCTGATTATTTGCATAAAGTGCAGCAAGAATATTTATTGACCATATAGGCTTCTTAAAATTGGCTTTGTTGGAACTTTCTACTAAGGAATCTTAGACTTTTAAAAGCCTTGAGGCTAGCCAAGTCAAAGATTTGCATCATACTGTGTCTGTAATACTTTTTTTTAACCTACGTTTTTATTATACTTTAAGTTGTGGGGTACACGTGCAGAATGCTGAGGTTTGTTACATAGGTATACATGTGCTGTGGTGGTTTGCTGCACCCATCAACCCATCACCTATATTAGGTATTTGTCCTAATGCTATCCCTCCCCCCGCCCCCAACCCCCAACATGCCCCAGTGTGTGATGTTCCCCTCCCTGTGTGCTTGTGTTCTCGTTGTTCAACTCCCACTTATGAGTGAGAACATGTGGTGTTTTGTTTTCTATTCTTGTGTTAGTTTGCTGAGAATGAAGATTTCCAGCTTCATCCATGTCCCTACAAAGGACATGAACTCATCCTTTTTTATGGCTGCATAGTATTCCATGGTGTATATGTGCCACATTTTCTTTATCCAGTCTATAATTGATGGGCATTTGGGTTGGTTCTAAGTCTTTGTTATTGTGAACAGTCCTGCAATAAACATACGTGTGCATGTGTCTTTATGGTAGAATGATTTATAATCCTTTGGGTATATACCCAGTAATGGGATTGCTGGGCCAAATGGCATTTCTAGTTCTAGATCCTTGAGGAATAGCCACACTGTCTTCCACAATGGTTGAACTAATTTACACTCCCACCAACAGTGTAAAAGCAATCCTATTTCTCCACATCCTCTCCAGTATCTTTTGTTTCCTGACTTTTTAATGATTGCCATTCTAACTGGCATGAGATGGCATCTCATTGTGGTTTTGATTTGCATTTCTCTAATGACTAGTGATGATGAGCTTTTTTTCATATGTTTCTTGGTTGCATAATTGTCCTCTTTTAAGAAGTGTCTGTTCACATCCTTTGCCCACTTTTTGATGGGATTGTTCTTTCTTGTAAATTTGTTTAAGTTCTTTGTAGATTCTGGATATTAGGTCTTTGTCAGATGGATAGATTGCAAAAATTTTCTCCCATTTCGTAGGTTGCCCTTTCACTCTCATAGTTTCTTTTGCTGTCCAGAAACTCTTTAGTTTAATTAGGTCCCATTTGTCAATTTTGGTTTTTGTTGCCATTGTTTTTGGTGTTTTAGTCATGAAGTCTTTGCCCATGCCTATGTCCTGAATGGTATTGCCTAGGTTTTCCTCTAGGGTTTTTACGGCTTTAGGTATTAGGTTTAAGTCTTTAATTCATCTTGAGTTAATTTTTATATAAGGTGTAAGGAAGGGATCCAGTTTCAGCTTTCTGCCTAAGGCTAGCCAGTTTTCCCAACATCATTTATTAAATAGGGAATCCTTTCCTCAGTGCTTGTTTTTCTCAGGTTTGTCAAAGATCAGATGGTTGTAGATATGTGGTGTTATTTCTGAGGGTTCGGTTCTGTTCCTTTGATCTATATATCTGTTTTGGTACCAGTACCATGCTCTTTTGTTTATCATAGCCTTGTAGTATAGTTTGAAGTCAGGTAGCATGATGCTTGAAGCTTTGTTCTTTTTGCTTAGGATTGTCTTGGCTATTCGGGCTCTTTTTTGATTCCATATGGAATTTAAAATATATTTTTCCAATTCTGTGGAGAAAGTCAATAGAGTTTAATGGGGATAGCAGTGAATCTATAAATTACTTTGGGTAGTATGGCCATTTTCACGATATTGATTCTTCCTATTGATGAGCATGGAATGTTTTTCCATTTGTTTGTGTCCTCTCTTGTTTCCTTGAGGAGTGGTTTATAGTTCTCCTTGAAGAGGTCCTTCACATCCTTGTAAGTTGTATTCCTAGGTATTTCATTCTTGTTGTAACAATGGAGAATGGGAGTTCACTCATAGTTTGGCTCTCTGTTTGTCTGTTATTGGTGTATAAGAAAGCTTGTGATTTTTGCACATTAATTTTGTATCCTGAAACTTTGCTGAAGTTGCTTATCAGCTTAAGGAGATTTTGGGCTGAGACGATGGGGTTTTCTAAATATATAATCATGTCATCTGCAAACAGAGACAATTTGACTTCTTCTTTTCCTAATTGAACACCCTGTATTTCTTTCTCTTGCCTGATTACCCTGGCCAGAACTTCCAACACTATGTGGAATAGGAGTAGTGAGAGAGGGCATCCTTGTCTTGTGCTGATTTTCAAAGGGAATGCTTCCAGTTTTTGCACATTCAGTATGTTATTGGCTGTGGGTTTGCCATAAATAGCACTTAATATTTTGAGATATGTTCCATCAATACCAGTTTATTGAGAATTTTTAGCATGAAGGGCTGTTGAATTTTGTCAAAGGCCTTTTCAGCATCTATTGAGATAATCATGTAGTTTTTGTCATTGATTCCGTTTATGTGAGGGATTACATTTATTGATTTGCATGTTGAACTAGCCTTGCATCCCAGGGATGAAGCCAACTTGGTCATGGTGGACAAGCTTTTTGATGTGCTGCTGGATTCAGTTTTCCAGTATTTTATTCAGGATTTCTGCATTGATGTTCATCAGGCATATTGGCCTAAAATTTCCTTTTTTTGTTGTGTTGGCCTCATAAAATGAGTTAGGGAGGATTCTCTTTTTCTATTGTTTGGAATAGTTTCAGAAGGAATGGTACCAGCTCCTCTTTGTACCTCTGGTAGAATTTGGCTGTGAATCCGTCTGGTCCTGGACTTTTTTTGGTTGGTAGGCTATTGATTAATGCCTCAATTTCAGAACTTGTTATTGGTCTATTCAGGAATTTGACTTCTTCCTGGTTTAGTCTTTGTAGTATTCTCTGATGATAATTTGTATTTCTGTGGGATCAGTGGTGATATCCCCTTAATCATTTTTTATTGCATCTATTTGATTCTTCTGTCTTTTCTTCTTTATTAGTCTGGCTAGTGGTCTGTTTTGTTGATCTTTTCAAAAAACCAGCTCCTGGATTCATTGATGTTTTGAAGGGTTTTTCATGTCTCTATCTCATTCAATTCTGCTCTGATCTTATTTATGTCTTGTCATCTCCTAGCTTTTGAATTTGTTTGTTCTTTCTTCTCTAGTTCTTTTAATTTTGATGTTAAGGTGTCAATTTTAGATCTTTCCTGCTTTCTCTTGTGGGCATTTAGTGCTATAAATTTCCCTCTACACACTGCTTTAAATGTGTCCCAGAGATTCTGGTACGTTGTGTCTTTGTTCTCATTGGTTTTGAAGAACATCTTTATTTCTGCCTTCATTTCGTTATTTACCCAGTAGTCATTCAGGAGCAGGTTGCCCAGTTTCCATGTAGTTGTGAGGTTTTGAGTGAGTTTCTTAATCCTGCATACTAATTTGAATGCATTGTGGTCTGAGAGACTGTTTGTTATGATTTCCATTCTTTTGCATTTCCTGAGGAGTGTTTTACTTCCAATTATGTGGTCAATTTTAGAATAAGTACAATGCGGTGCTGAGAAGAAGGTACATTCTGTTGATTTGGGGTGGAGAGTTCTGTAGATATCTTTTAGGTCCACTTGGTCCAGAGCTGAGTTCAAGTCCTGGATATTCTTGTTAATTTTCTGTCTCATCTATCTAATATTGACAGTGGAGTGTTAAAGTCTCCCACTATTATTGTGTGGGAGCCTAAGTCTCTTTGTAGGTCTTTAAGAACTTGCTTTATGAATCTGAGTGCTCCTGTATTGGGTGCATATATGTCTAGGATAGTTAGCTCTTCTTGTTGCATTGATCCCTTTACCATTATGTAATGCCCTTCTTTGTCTCTTTTTATCTTTGTTGGCTTAAGATCTGTTTTATCAGAAACTAGGATTGCAACCCCTGCCTTTTGTTGCTTTCCACTTGCTTGGTAAATGTTTCTTCATCCCTTTATTTTGAGCCTATGTGTATGAGATGGGTCTCCTGAATACAACACATTGATGGGTCTTGATTCTTTATCCAATTTGCCAGACTGTGTCTTTCAACTGGGGACATTTAGCTCATTTACATTTAAGGTTAATATTGTTATGTGTGAATTTGATCCTGTCATTATGATACTAGCTGGTTATTTTGCTCATTAGTTGATGCAGTTTTTTCATTGTGTCAATGGTCTTTATAATTTGGTATGTTTTTGCAGTGGCTGTTACCAGTTGTTCCTTTCCGTGTTTAGTGCTTCCTTCAGGAACTCTTGTAAGGCAGTCCTGGTGGTGACAATATCTCTCAGCATTTGCTTGTAAAGGATTTTATTTCTCCTTCAATTATGAAGCTTAGTTTGGCTGGATATGAAATTCTGGTTTGAAAATTCTTTTCTTTAGGAATGTCGTATATTGGCCCCCACTCTCTTCTGGCTTGTAGGCTATCTGCCAAGAGATCCACTGTTAGTCTGATGGGCTTCCCTTTGTTGGTAACTCAACCTTTCTCTCTGGCTGCCCTTAATATTTTTTCCTTCATTTCAACCTTGGTGAATCTGATGATTTTGTGTCTTGGGGTTGCTCTTCTTGAGGAGTATCTTAGTGGTGTTCTCTGTATTTCCTGAATTTGAATGTTGGCCTGTCTTGCTAGGTTAGGGAAGTTCTCCTGAATAATATCCTTAAGAGTTTTTTCCAACTTGGTTCCATTCTTTCTGTCACTTTCAGGTACACCAATCAAACGTAGATTCAGACTTTTAACATAGTCCTCTATTTCTTGGAGGCTTTGTTCATTTCTTTTCACTCTTTTTTCTCTAATCTTGTCTTCTGGCTTTATTTCATTGAGTTGATCTTCAATCTCTGATATCCTTTCTCCTGATTGATTGATTCAGCTATTGATACTTGTGTATGCTTCATGAAGTTCTTGTGCTGGGTTTTTCAGCTCCATCAGGTCATTTATATTCTTCTCTAAACTGGTTATTCTAGTTAACAATTCATCTAACCTTTATTTTTCAGGCTCTTAGCTTCCTTGCATTGGGTTAGAACATGCTCCTTTAGCTCGGAGGAGTTTGTTATTACCCGCCTTCTGAAGCCTACTTCTGTCAATTCATCAAACTCACTGTCTGTCCAGTTTTGTTCCCTTGCTGGCGGGGAGTTGTGATCTTCTGGAGGAGAAGAGGCATTCTGACTTTTGGAGTTTTCAGCATTTTTGCACTGGTTTCTCCCCATCTTTGTGGATTTATTTACCTTTGGTCTTTGATGTTGGTGATGTCGATACTATTCCTTTCTGTTTGTTAGTTTTCCTTCTAACAGTCAGGTCCCTCTGCTGCAGGTTTGCTCGAGTTTGCTGGAGGTCCACTCCAGACCCTGTTTTCCTGGGTATCACCAGTGGAGGCTCAGTTGGAAATGCATGAACCACCTGACTTCTGTGTTGATCTCACTGGGTGCTGCAGGCCGGAGCTGTTCCTATTCAGACATCTTGCCAGCTCTCCTGTAATACTTTAATGAATGGGTGTAGTCTTCTCTTCTCAAGGTCCCCAAATATCTTGAGGTTCCTGGCCCATCAGAAAGTGACATTCTTTATTTCTTACCACAAGAATAGCAACTTTGTAAAGGACCTTTGTATACAGGACATCAAGCCAGTCATTCTAAGGGGCTTTGTATTGGTGCTATAAAGTCAACCTCAATTCCTTAAAGTGGTCTGGTTGTATCTGCCATTCGAGTTAAAGCCTTGATAAAACAAACAGTGTCTCCAATTGAATCTTGTTACCAAAAACAGATTCTTATTGAAATTATGCAAATAATTATATTGCCATAATTTAAGAATGCTCACGAATGGCTTCTGAATTCTGGAGAAATCAGCTAGAGAGACAGATAAATGGCTCAAATTTTTGTTCACAATGTAGTTTATCCAATGTATTGTAAATTAAAAATAGCTGAAAAGAAAAAAAATTATTGACTTTGGAAAACAAAACATAAAGAGGATCAACAATGTTTCTAATGGGAGGGCCATGGATAAAATCTTTTCCTTCTTTTATAAGTTCACTCCCATGTAACTAAATCTTGTTCTGCTTGATTTCAAATAGCAATTCTCATTCAGTTTTTTGTGTTTTGCTTGATTTCAATTAGAAATTCTCATTCAGCTTTTTAGAGTCCTGGAAGATTTTCCTAGTCCAATGGTTTGATCCCCAAAGTTATCTGAAACCATATTTAAGAGAACTTGTCAGAATCCTTTCCATTAAAAGTAATTTAGATGATAGCTGATTGTAAAGGCTTTTTTTTTGAGACACGGTCTGGCTCTATCACTCAGGATGGAGTGCAGTGGCATGATCTTGGTTCACTGCAATCTCTCCCTCCCAAACTCAAGCCATCCTCCTACCTCACCCTCCGAAGTAGCTGGGACCATAGGCATGCACCATCATGCCTGGCTAATTTTTGTATTTTTGTAGAGATGGGATTTTACCATATTGCCTAGGCTGCTTTCAAACTTCTTAGTTTAAGCAATTCACCCACCTCAGCCTTGCAAAGTGCTGGGATATTTACACGCATGAGCCTCCATGCCCTGCACCATGCCCAGCACCGTGCCCTGCATGGCCTCCAGCACCGTGCCCGGCCTGTAAAGGGTTTTAGAGAAGAACTTTAATCAATCACCGTGGATGACAAAAACTTAGAATAGCCGTTGGTTAAAATCCAGTGGAAGTTCTCAAATCTCGAGAAAATTTAGTTATTTGTATTATATGTAGCATTTTAAGATAACAGCCAGAATCATGACTGATGGCAACACATCAGATCCATCAGACTTCCAGAAATTTTATATAATCTTTAGAATATTTATATTAATAATATATCTATACACATACAACTTTAGAAAATATTTAACATCATCAAAATTATGACTGAAACCCTATTAGATTTTTATAATTTATATAACTTTTAAAATATTTATATTAATAACATACCTATAAATGTAACCAAAAGAAGATTTAAGCTGGGCACAGTGGCTCATGCCTGTAATCCCAACACTTTGGGAGGCCAAGTTGGACAGATCATCAGAGGTCAGGAGTTCGACACCTGCCTGGCCAACATGGAGAAATCTTGTCTCTACTAAAAATACAAAATTAGCCGGGTATGGTGGCACTTGTCTGTAGTCCCAGCTACTTGGGAGGTTGAGGCAGAAGAATTGCTTGAACCTTGGGGCAGAATTTGCAGTGAAACTAGATCATGCTACAACACTCCAGCCTGGGTGACAAAGCAAGATTCTGTCTCAGAGAAAAAAAAAAAGAAGATTTAGTGTTACTTATCTTTTGGCAATGCTTCCCATACAATGTTATCAACTAAGTTTTAGCAAAGATGTCAAAAAATTGAAAACATTTGACCAAAACGGAATGGTAGTTTATTGTTTTTTATTTTATTATTTTTTTGAGACAGGGTCTCACCCTGTTGCCCAGGCTGGAGTGCAGTGGTGAAATCATGGCTCACTGCAGCCTCAACCTCCCAGGCTCAGGTGATCCTCCACCTTAGTCTCCCAAGTAGCCAGGACTATGAGCACTTGCTACCACACCTAGCTAGCTTTTGTATTTTTAGTAGATATGGGGTTTTGCCATTTTGCCCAGGCTGGACTTGAACTCCTGGGCTCAAGTGATCCACCCACCTTGGCCTCCCAAAGGGCTGGAATTACAGACAAGAGCCGCTGCACACAGCCACATGTCATTTTTAAATAACATTCATTTAATTAACATGACAACCAAAAGACATCAAAAGCAACATAGAAGGTTACATGGATGTGAAAACTGAAAACCCTCAGTTTTCCCAAGTAATTAAAAAAACAATAAAGGCAACACATGGATTATCTTGATAAAACCTAAAATCTTTATTACAGGCCAGTCATTTAAAGGGTAAAAGCTCCTGTGGCATAACTGTGTCTTCTTATGGGAAGCTAATTTAAATCACTTGGAAGTCAAACCGATGACACGGAGACTTGAATTTAATTAGACATAGAAAGAGTGTGTCCAGGGTCATGAGTGAGCATAATATTACAGAGGAATGTAAACAGGAAAACCAGAGCATAGAGCAGTGGGGATCCATAGCTCACAATGATAGCATGGAAGTTTCCTGCTGTATCCTGGTTACATGAAGTAATTAAGACATATTTAAAAGCCAAGAGTACAAAATTAGACCTGATGAAAAAGCTGAAGGAGTTATCATCCCAGCCAAGCAGGAAACCCAAGCCTTTTATTCCTTCTCAAGAAGAAACAGAAGACAATGATGTGATCTGTGAGTCATGTGTAACATGAAAGTACAGGAAACGTTGAACTTCTGATATACAAATCTGAAAAGATTTTATAGTAACAGATATCAGGATTAAAAGTCAATATTTATTACCTCTTATTATGAGCAAATAAATGCATTAAGAAAACCTTGTTGTTTTAACCAAATTTTTTTGTTTTTTATCACTATGTTTTTAATATTACAGCTAATTTAAATAAACCTTATAAACAATCTATCTGATCTCAATCAGTTTTGACCTCGAGGTAAGATTTACATAAACTTTTAATAAGCTTGTATAATTTTTTCCATCTTTCCCAACTTTTTATACACATTTAGTTTTATCTATCTTTTTTATTCCTTCAATTTAAAATAATCCTTAAAAATCTCTAAGCGAATTTACTTTCTCTGAAACAAAAACCCGTATAGATTTTGCATACAGAATTGTTTCTCTTGTATCTAGTAGTCTTAATCACATATATCTACCAAGATATTAACACTTAGTAACCCTTATTTTAATAAAAAACTTAGGAAGAAAGAAATCTTGAATTGTCATATAGCAGTATCTTACATATGAGAATGATTTCATAATTTAGAATTATGTGTTCCTAAAACATATTTTTTAAGGTGGATTTTCGCTCTTGTTGCCCAGGCTGGAGTGCAATGGTGTGATCTCAGCTCACTGCAACCTCCGTCCCCCAGGTTCAAGCAATTCTCCTGCCTCAGCCTCTCGAGTAGCTGGGATTACAGGAACCCACCACCACACCTGGCTAATTTTTTGTATTTTTTAGTAGAGATGGGGTTTCACCATGTTGATCAGGCTGGTCTTGAGCTCCTGACCTCGGGTGAGCCACCCGCCTTGGCCTTCCAAAGTGTTGGGATTACAGGCATGAGCCATAGTGCCTGGGCTAAAACATAAGTTTTAAATTGGAAATAACCCAGATATTTAATGAGTATCTATTATTTAATTTAACATAACTAAAATTTCAAAAATAGGCTGGGCATGGTGGCTCACACCTGTAATCCCAACACTTTAGGAGGCCAAGGCAGGAGTATCGTGAGACCAGCCTGAGCAAATAGCGAGATGCTGACTCTACAAAAAAAATAAAAGTTAGCTGACCATGGTGTTGCATGCCTGTAATTAACAACTTCTTGGGAGGTTGAGGTGGGAGGATCCCTTGAGTGCAGGAGGTCAAGGTTGCAATGAGCTGTGATCATGCCACTGCACTTCAGCCTGGGTGACAGGCAGAGACATTGGCTCAAAAAAATTTCAAAAATACATTAAAATGTCTTGTATAGACATTTATCCATTTACATTTACTTATTTTTGACAGTTTATCTAGAGTATTTGTGAGAACTGAGGTATTAGACAAAGCTAGTCATTTCTAGGTTATTTTCTTGTTAACCATGTTATAGCCTGTGAATATCAGGTGTTCACATAAGTGAGGATTTCAAAGTTAAATACAAGGGTATTTTACCAATAACTCAGAAAATTCCATTATTTTTGTTCAACAAACCGTATTAAATTGGTCTTATGTATTTAAAAAATCACATAAACAAATATTCTTTTTTTCCTGTGTTTATAGCTTTATAACCTTCATGCCAAACCCTAGCACCTTAAAATATCTAGCAAATGTAAATATAAAACACAGTCAAAAATGTATGCTGACAATTCTGAAGACATTTCTATTTTTATTTTATCAGTACTTTTTAAATTATTTGCATTTATAAAAGAACTCTTTTGTCTGGGCACAGTGGTTCATGCCTGTATCCCAGCACTTTGAGAGGCTGAGGCAAGAGGATCACTTGAGCTCAGGAGTTTGAGACCAGCCTGGGCAACAGAGTGAGATCCAATCTCTACTAAGAATAAGATAAAAAATTGCCAGGCATGGTGGTGCATGCCTATTGTCCCAGCTACTAGAGAGGATGAGGCAGGAGGATTGCTTGAGCCTGGGAGGTTGAGATAACAGTGATCTATGATCCCACTACTGCACTCCAGTCTGGGGAACAGAGTAAGACCTTAGAGTAAGACCTTGTCTCAAAAAGAGAAAAAAATAAAAAATTGTTTCATTCTTTTGTTTTTCTTCAGCCAAGTAACCTTGAATTGGTAACACCACAGACAGTAAGTCTTATCTCAACACCAGTAGACAAATCAGCAGATTCAAAGTAGGCAGGGAAAAAAAAAAAGATAGGCAAAAGAACTGAGACTTTTTCATTTTAGGGTTTTTAAAAATAGTAACTATTTGAGTTCTGAATTTTCTTTCATGTAATTTGGCCGTCAGGTTTAAAGTGTGCACTAGAGACCAGGTGCAGTGGCTCATTCATGTAATCCCAACACTATGGGAGGCTGAGGCAGGTGGATCACTTGAGGCCAGGAGTTTGAGACCAGCCTGGCCAACGTGACAAAACCCCATCTCTACTGAAAATACAAAAATTAACTGGGTGTGGTGGTGTGCACCTGTAGTCCTAGCTATTCAGGAGGCTGAGGCAGGATAATCGCTCAAACCTGGGAGGTGGAGGTTGCAGTGAGCCGCGATTGTACCACCATACTCCATCCTGGGCAACAGAGCAAGACTGTGTGTCAAAAAGAAAAAGAAAAAAAATATAAATATAAATATATAAATATAAATATAAATATATATATATATATATATATATAGGCTGGGCACAGTGGCTCATGCCTGTAATCCCAGCAGTTTGGGAGGCCAAGGTGGGTGGATCACTTGAGATCAGGAGTTTGAGACCAGCCTGGTCAACATAGTGAAACCTCATCTCTACTAAAACCACAAAAATTAGCCGGGTATGTTGGCGTACACCTGTAATCGCAGCTACTCAGGAGGCTGAGACAGGAGAATTGCTCGAACCTGGGAAGTGGAGGTTGCAGTGAGCCAAGAGCGCACCACTGCACTCCAGCGTGGGCAACAGAGCAAGACTCTGTCTCAAAAAAGTGTGTGTGTGTGTGTGTGTGTGTGTGTGTGTGTGTGTGGCTAGAATGGTCCATAATATATAGCCAGCTCGAGTCCCAGAAAACCTAGCAAGCTAAAGGTTAGAGCTTCTCATTTTGGCCTTTTCAAGATTAAATCTCCTTTAGTAAGCCCTTCCCCTCTAGGGAGGTACTTGCCGGAGCGCTGCCTGAAGTTGGTTTTCTGATGCCCTGTTGTACCTGTTCTGAATAGTTTATTTCTCATTATAAGAGCTCAGCAAAGCAGGCAGAGTTAAAAAGCAGAGACATGAAGGCTTTAAAATCATGGACTTCACTCCTACACTGAATCTCAGGTCCCCGGAAAGACAGAAACACCATGGGACCACAGCAAAGGCAGAAGGAGGAGTGAGAGAGGGAGGTGGACAGAACAACAAACAGGAGTTGGCTCTCAATTTTTCACGTGTGCCATTTTCTTTAGGTTTTTCTAGTTTATTGAGTCTCTTTGTTCCAATTGAGCACACAGATAAACTAGAAATCTCACAAGGCTTTTGCTGAGAACATCAAAGCCTTTAACCTCTGTTGGGCCAAATATTTAGACCAAAAATACAGATAGACACACAAAAGCCAGAACCAGACCAGATTGAGTAGCTCAGTAGCTACAGCCTTTATTCCCTTTATTCTTTAGGGTTCGAACTCAAACGAGATTCAGGATTCTAACCCAACCAGGACCCCCCTGGGGTGAAACTGAAACCCCACAGTCTAGACAAGGTTGGGGGTCTTTTTTTATTTTTTATTTTTTTGAGATGGAGTTTCACTCTTGTTGCCCAGGCTGGAGTGCAATGGTGCAATATTGCCTCACAGCAACCTCCCCCTCTCAGGTTTAAGCACTTATCCTGCCTCAGCCTCCAAAGCTGAGATTACAGGCTTGTGCCGCCATGCCCAGCACATTTTGCATTTTTAGTAGAGACGGGGTTTCTCCATGTTGGTCAGGCTGGTCTCAAACTCCCAACCTCGGGTGATCCGCACACCGAAGCCTCCCAAAGTGTTGACATTACAGGCATGAGCCACCGCGCCCGGCCTGCTTGTTCTTTTCATTTCATCCTGATCTCCGAATACAGGAGAGTAGCTGATTTGGTGTTCACTAACAAGCACAGAAGCTTTGTTACATTTACAGTGTCATTCTTGGCAAAACCTGAAGTTTTGCCTCCCGGGTTCATGCCATTCTCCTGCCTCAGCCTCCTGAGTAGCTGGGACTATAGGCGCCCGCCACCTCACCCAGCTAATTTTTTGTATTTTTAGTAGAGACGGGGTTTCACTGTGTTAGCCAGGATGGTCTCGATCTCCTGACCTTGTGATCTGCCCACCTCGGCCTCCCAGAGTGCTGGGATTACAGGCGTGAGCCACCGCGCCCAGCCAGAAGCTCTAATTTCAATGATGATTGTGCTTTTTATCTCTTCCTCAGCATCTGACTCATGATAAAATTTCAGGTGTCTTGATGGTATCTAAATCAGTTGTTGATTCGGTCCTGGAGAAACACAAGCATAATCTCTATGCCAAGTTATAATTTTACCTATTTCCCAACTTTTTGTTATTGGATCTCTCCACCAAACCAGTTGTTCTGCTTCTCTCTTTGCAGCTAGTTTCTGTAGATGCTGTTCAGCTGCTGGTAACATCTGGCCTTTGGGCAGGCTCAAAAATTTGAAAGTTAATAATGATAGATTCAATTGTGTATGGGCTACCCGTAATCCCTGTTTCTCCCCCTTTTTTTGTTTTTATTATCAGTTGTTCATCTGTATGAAATCGTAACTGAGCATTTTCAATTAACTGTGTGGAATGAACCATGTATGAAGAATCAGAAATCACATTAACAGGCATATCAAAAGCAGTCAATACCTCAATTACAGCTACAAGCTCCGCTTTTTGAGCTGAAGTATAGGGTGTCTGGAAAACTTTACCTTTTGATCCAGAATAAGAAGCTTTACCATTACTAGACCCATCTGTGAAACAACGAAAACGCTTAGCAGGCTGCAGGTTGTTTACTGCAGGAATTGTAAATGCAAACCGTTCACAGTCTTGCTCAGCTAAAAGGGTAGTAAAGTAACAGTCTTTTAAATCTGTGACTATTAAAGGCCAATTTTTTGGAATTATAGTAGGAGAAGGCAATCCTGGCTGTTATGTTTCCATAGGTTGTATAACTGAATTGATGGCTCTTAAGTCAGTTAACATTCTCCATTTACCTGATTTTTTCTTAATTATGAACACTGGAGAATTCCAAGGGGAAAATGTTGGAGCTATGTGCCCATTTTCTAATTGTTCAGTAACTAATTTCTCTAAAGCATCCAGTTTCTCTTTGCTTAGCAGCCATTATTCTATCCAAATTGGCTTATCTGTTAACCATTTTAAAGGTATAGGTTCTGGAGGCTTAACAGTGGCCACCATCAAAAATGGTATCCTAATCTTTGGCAGGAACTTTGTCTTTCCGTTTGAAGCAGTTCTTTCAAACCTTGCAATTTTTTTCTACTCCTATACCAGGGACATGCCCCATTTCGTGCATCATATGTTGACTTTGAGGGCTGTATAATTGCTATGGAATTAGAACTTGTGCTCCCCATTGTCATAATAAATCTCTCCCCCATAAATTTATAGGTACAGAAGTTGCAATTGGTTGAACAGTCCCAGGTTGTCCATCGGTCCCTTCACAATGCAAAATATAGCTACTTTGATACACTTCTGGGGCTTTAGCAGTTTCCACTGTGTTAAATTGAGTGGGCTGAATTGGCCACATGGACGGCCAGTGCTGTAGAGAAATGATTGAAATGTCCACTCCTACCAAAAAAAAAAAAAAATTGTATCTACCAAACCTTTAAAGTTCTTTCCCTGGATAGTTATTTCACAGATAGGATGTTTATCAGTAATTTGATTTACCCAATAAGCTGCCTTGCCTTTTTTATTTGTGCTTCCAAATCCTCCAGTTCATTTAATTTCACTTTTTCCCATTCCCACATACTTCACACTCAGGAGCTGTGCTATGCCCACTCCTGGCTGTGCTTTCCAGGGAACAGAAGTAGATATCACAATTTGAATTTCCTCATTGTAATCTGAATCAATGACTCCAGTGTGTATTTGTACCCCTTTTAAACTTAAACTAGACCTTCCTAAAAGTAATCCCATTGTCCCTCCTGGCAACGGTCCACAGACTCCTGTTGGGACCTTTTGCGGGGGTTCCCCAGGCAGAAGGCTCACAGCTTTTGTGCAGCATAAGTCTACTGCGACACTATGGGCTATGGTGGGGGACAGATAATGTACGGGTGTGAGGGAATGGCCTGAGCTAGAAATGCCCTGGTTTAGAACAGGGCCTGGAATGGGCCCCCCAGGGAGTTTCCCAAAATCGGGTTCCCTTCTTTATCAAACTTAGAGTGACACTGATTAGCCCAAAGTTTTCCTTTTTTACATTTTAGACATATTTCAGGATCAGCAGTTTTCTTTTTTCACCTATCTGGTGGCCTGACTTGCTGATTTTTTTTTTACATTCTTTTTAGTATGACCATGCTTCCCACAGTTAAAACAAGCTCCAGGAAATAGAGTATTTCCTTTATCCACTCTCAGTCCTGCCATCGCCTGTGCCAACAAAGTAGCTTTATGTAGATTATCTCTGATATCATCACAGGCCTTGTTATAATCAACTAAATGTGCTTTCCCTCTGATAGGTCGCAGAGCAGCCTGGCAATAGGGATTAGCATTGTCAAAACTAATAACTGCAACACTATATCCTAAGCAGCCAAATCTGCAATCATCTTTTTAAGAGACTCCTGTAACCAAGCTATAAAATGCACATATGGTTCTCTTGGTCCCTGTTTTATAGCACTAAATGAAGGGTATTGTTCTCCATATGAAGTGATTTTTTCCAAGCTCTAATGCACACTCCTCTAAGCTGTTCTATGGCATCATCCTGCTTGACTACTTGTGCATGTAAACCAGCCCAGCCACCAACCCCCAAAAGTTGGTCTGCAGTTATATTAATTTGAGGTTGGGCCCAGGCATTGCGAGCAGCCTGAATGGAAGCTTCATCTGCCCACTAAGTTTTAAATTGTAAGAACTGAGCAGGAGTTAGACAAGCTAGAGTAAGAGTGTCCCAGTCAGTAGGAATCATCCGACTGGAAACAGCAACATTCTTTAACAGTCCCATTTCAAAAGGAGAACCTGGTCCATACTGATTTATAGCTTGTTTAATTTTTTTGAGTAATTTAAAAGGAAAAGATTCAAATGTAGCTATAATATTTCCCTGTTGATCTGGGGGGTGTATTCAAACAGGGAACTGCCAAGCCTCTAAATCCCACTTTTGTCTAGCTTGCTGAATTCCTGCCTGAATAGAACTAAGCAGTCGCTCAAGGCGGTGCTCGAACAGTCACCAGGGCAACTACTTTTCACCCAGTGTCCTCCAGAAAAGAAATATCTGGAGGGTCGTTTTCTTCAAAATAATAATGAGGGGGTGCAGAAGGGTAGGGATGAACCTCTCCCTCCTTTTCTGCTTTAGCTTTAGGTGGCAAATAAACCTGGTCTGTAGCCTCTACTGTTACTTTGATATACTCTCCTTCCTCCTCATTATCAGTGTGAAAAAGTTCCAAGGTAGAACGAACCACAGCCCACACTTGTCCCATTGTTACCCTGATGCTTCCGAGCTCCCCTTCTGACTCACCACGGGGATTGCTTTAAGAGTACTCGGATGTCCTCCAGCTAGTTCCACATTCTCCAATCGTTGCTCCAGCGATCCTTTGACCTGTATTCGAGCCCCCATGAATGGGCACCACTTGCTGAGACCAGGTCGGTTGGGGAGACCCTAACCCAGCAGCACTAGAGGAATTAAAGACACACACACTGAAATATAGAGGTGTGAAGTGGGAAATCAGGGGTCTCACAGCCTTCAGAGCTGAGAGCCCTGAACAGAGATTTACCCACGTATTTATTAACAGCAAGCCAGTCATTAGCATTGTTTCTATAGATATTAGATTAACTAAAAGTATCCCTTATTCTTAAGGCACAGATCACTCATGCTATTGTTTGTGGCTTAAGAATGCCTTTAAGTGGTTTTCCACCCTGGACGGGCCAGGTATTCCTTGTCCTCATTCTGGTAAACCCACAACCTTCCAGCGTGGGTGTTATGGCCATCAAGAACATGTCACAGTGCTGCAGAGATTTTGTTTATGGCCAGTTTTGGGGCCAGTTTATGGCCGGATTTGTGGGGGCTTGTTCCCAACAGTTCCTCAGGGTAAGGGTGCCCTAACTCCTGTGGGGACCTTCTTTCGTGGCTCCCCAGGAAGTAAGGAGATGGGAATTGTGCTGTAGAGGTCTACAGCAGCACTGCTTGCTGAGGCGGGGGACAATTGCTGTACATTTGTAAGGGCAGTGGCTGTGCTGGGTATGCCTCAGTTTGTTGAGGGGCTTGAGGCGGGTCCCTCTTCCTATTTCCTCAAAGAGGTTGTCTATCTTTGCTAAATTTAGAATGACACGGACTTGCCTAGTGATTGCCTTTCTTACACCAGGGACATACACTGGGTCTTTTCTGTTGATTCATGGTAGTAGTTTTCGTCTTTTGAATTCCTTTCTACATTCCTTTCTTGTGTCCAATTTGCCCACAATTAAGGCAAGAGCCTGAGAAATGAAGCATATTTTTTCTTACTCTTAATCTAGCCATAGCCTGAGCTAAAAGAATAGCCTTATGTAAGTTACCTCCAATGCCATCGCAAGACTTAATATATTTAGTTAAATGAGCCTTCTCTCTCAGATATCTAATAGCAGTTTGACACTCTGCATTAGCATTATTGTATGCAAGAAGCTGTATTACAACATCCTGAGCTGTTTTGATCATTTACGGCTTTATACACAGCCTCTTGGAGCTGAGCAATAGAATTAATATATGGTTCTTTAGGTCCTTGTCAGACAGAACTTAAATAAGGATACTTTTCCCCTGTAACATTTATCCTTTTCTATGCATGTAAGCACATGAAGCACAGCTGAATAATGGCAACATCTTCCATTACTGCTTGATTCTCTAATCAACCCCAGTTAGGACCAACTCATATTAACTGATCAAAGAAAACAGGCACAGGTGGCTGCACGTGTGTGTTTTCTTTTGCCTGAGTTTGAGTTCATCAGCCTACCAAGTTTTAAACTGCAAGTACTGAGATGGGAGTGAGAACAGGTTTTGTCAAAGTATCCTAATTATATGGTAGTAATGTATTATCAAGAGCCATATTTTTTAATAAAGATTGCACAAAAAGACAGTTCAGTCCATATTGACTAATGGCTTGCTTAAATTCTTTAGTAACTTAGAAGAAAAAGCAGGCTAATTAGCTATATTCTGTCCTACTTGCTGGATTATAGTAACGGGAAATTACCATGCTTCAAGGTCTCCCTTGGCTTTAGCTTTTTGAATAGAATTTTGTCTAGCACCACCAACTGCTCCAGGTTTTAATGTTGTAACTACAGGAGCAGTAAGTTTTTCAGCTAATTTATTTTCTCACCCATTTAGGGGAGAGAGAGGAGGTGGCCATTCACTTAATTCAGCAGGTGGAGCCAACGGGCTAGTAAAACATACTTTTTAAAGTTTTTCTTTCTTTTCTTTAATCTCCTCCGGTAGCTGCTCCTCACACTCAGAATTTGAAGTTAGTTTTTTACACTCATCCTCCTCTTCCTCATCTGAATCTGCCTCATCATCTGTTTGAAATGGCTCAAGGGCTGCCTTTATTAGTGCCCACACTGACCATATATAAACTGGAATTTCTGCTCCATCTTTATATGCCTATTAAAAATCTCTTCCAATTCTCTCCCATTCATCCAACTGCATAGTCCTTTGTTCTGGAAACCATGGGCAAAACTGCTTTACTGTACTAAAGAGTAATAACAAATTCTAAGTACTAACTTTCACTCCCCATCTTTGTATGTCCTCGGGTGTCTTTTGATGATGTGTCCTCTGCTTTCATATGCTCTAGCCTTCCTTCACCGGGTCTTTGTCACCCTATGTTGGGCGCCAGGAATGTTGGGGTGATCAGACCCAACACTTGGTCATGGGGGTGATGAAGTCCGGCAGAGTCAAAGGAATGAGAAAAAGACAGTTTGAGAGAGAAAGTGGGACCAGGAGACCATCACGAGTATGGAGTCTGCAAAGTCCCCAAGCTCTGGGAGCCCACGCTATTTGTTGGTGCTCAAACAAAGAAACAGGTGGTGAGGATGTGGGGGTTGAAAGGAAATGGTGTATCAAGTGAATGAGAAACATATGGCCCTGCCTCAGCTTGTCTTCCAACACTCAGCTTTTCTCCCAACACATTCCCCTTATGAACAGGAATAAAATAGGGATGCCTGTTCTCCCCACTCCTGTTTAACAAGTCCTAGTCAGAGCAAGCAGGCAAGAGAAAGCGATAAAAAGCATCCAAATAGGAAATGAAGTCAAATTATCTCTCTTCACTGATGATATGATTCTACACCTAGAAATCCCTAAAGACTGTGCCAAAAGGCTCCTAGAACTGATAAAAAAAACTTCAGCAAACTTTCAGGATAAAAAAAAAACAACATATAAAAAGAAGTAGCATTTCTGTTCACCAAAAATGTTTAAACTGAAAGGTAAATCAAGAGTGCAATCCTGTTTACAACAGCAACCCCCAAAATAAAATAAAATAAAGGAAGAATATGTCTAACCAAGGAGGTAAAGGATATCTAAAAGGAGAACTACAAAACACTGCAGAAAGAAATCATAGATCTCGAAACAAATGGAAAACCATTCCATGCTCATGGATTAGAAAGATCAATATTGTTAAAATGGCTATACTGCCAAAAGCAATCTACACATTCAACACTATTCCTATGAAACAACCAATGTCGTTTTTCACAGAATCAGAAAAAAAAAATATTCTAAATTTCATATGGATTTTTAAAGAGCCCAGACAACCAAAGGAAATCTAAGCAAGAAGAACAAAGCTGGAGACATCACATTACTTGACTTCATACTATACCCTAAGGCCACAGTAGACAAAATAACATGGTACTGATATGAAAACAGACACAAAGACCAATGAAACATAATAGAGAAACCCAAAATAAACACATGCACCTATAGCCATCAGCTTTCGCAGGATAACACAAAGAGAGCCAAGTGGCACCTGCACATTACACTGTGGAAGAAAAACCCAAGCTCAAGAAACCCCAACTTGTGTTATTGGAAGTTCACTTGGCTGTATGCTTCCCAAGAGGGAGAAATTATCTGCATTATACTAGACAGTAAATAAACTTTTCCTTTGTTCCAGAAGGAGGTACTGGTTTTCTATTCCAAGGCTGTTTTCTATACAAACATGCTTGAAAACAATCATTTGGAACAATAAATTCAGCGTCCATACTTGCAAAATGTGCGTACATTAAAGACCCAAAAATTGTTTCTCTACCAATTTCTATTTTTTAAAAATCAAATTTTCCCCATATAATATGCTTTTAATATGTGATCATATTCTGAAATTGTCTTAGCATTTACCCCCATTTCTGAGTCCAGAAGGATACAATACATTTAATTTAATTTAGTAACACTTCAAATAGTAGTGATTGTAATATCAGAGCTAGTTTGTAGCATAAAGAAAAAATAATAATATTATTAGGTGACACTTACAAATAATGCTAGTCACCATTTCTAAGTGTCTTGGGAAGTACAGTGATTATTTTCTTTCTTTCTGACTCTTTTTTACTTTATTTTTTATTTTTTTCCATAGGTTATTGGGGTACGGTGGTATTTGGTTCCATGGGTAAGTTCTTTACTGGAGATTTGTGAGATTTGGGTGCACCCATCACCCGAGCAGTGTACACTGCACCCTATTTGTAATCTTTTATCCCTCGCCTCCCTTCCTATTAAATAATAGACCAGAAATAATGGGTTTAGAATAAATGAGTTCAAATGAATTGTCAAACGTATGTGGGAAAAGTGGAATCAGTTTTTGAGAAAAAGCAAAAAACTCAACAGAAATGCTGATAAAGCATCATCCCTTCATGGCTAGAGCTGCCAGTACCCCAGAACACCAAAATCAGCTAGGGAAATTTTGTAGAAGTCCCAGATGTACTAAATGTTCTGTGAATACACAGAGATATAATTATAACTGTTACCTGCATGTAGAGTAAAGATGAGAAGGCATTGGTCATGGTGGCAGCTACCTCAGGAGTTACAAAGCAGACGTGGTCCCAGGACAGTATATGTCAGGGCAAAGCTGTCCTCGGAGGCTATTAGGAGCTGGTTATGGCACAGACATTGTAAGTCAGATGGTCTCATTACTTTCAATGACAAAACCAAAATTACTTTTGCATCAGCCAATACAACGGCCTGGCAAGAGCACAGAAAAAGACCCTGTGCTGTTAGGTGGGGACCTCTGATGCAGCACAATTCCTTCATTCCCTTCTCCAAAACCCCCTCTTCCAATTCCACTGAAGAGAGAATCTGATGGAAGTCCTGTGTAAGCAGGCTCAGATATATCTACCACTATAGATAGTAGAGGTGATTCACAAATCCAAGCCTATCAAATACATCATAAATAAGTTACACGTTTAATTTTTTTTGAAATTAGGGATCATGATATGAAAGTTATCAGAATCAAAACTGTCACTAATGTTTAAAAAGAGAAGAAGAAACCTGAACAAATAGATTCAGAGAAGGCCTTGAAGAGAGGGTTCTCATGCTTCTAGGCCTGATAAAAACTATTACAAAATACCACAAAAACCACAACCTTGCACAAAGGCCATAGCAACCTTACACAAAATACACTTCTGTGAGGACATCTATCCAGCAACCGCCTGCCCAAACTTCAACTGATATTGACCTTGTTGTTGATCTTTATAGTCAAAGGTAACTATATCAAAACAATTATAGAAGCCTCTTCATTTTCCCTTATTTATTTTTTTCTACTCCCCCATACTTCCAGGTTGATCATTTTTCTTTTAAAGTCCTTGTCTTCCTTTACCATTTGAATCTATATAGTTTGCTTTGTCATGCATATTCCCATTGCAGTGCCCTCCTCCCTAAGATGTGTCTTTTTCCTTTAGAGAGCCTTTCTCTGTTTGTTATTTAGGTTTACAATGAGAAGGCGTGTAAAGTATTTTTACTGTCTTCCTAGGAAAAAATCACTGACTTACAGTATTTATATTTATTTATTTACATTCCTGGGGATGAGGAATTAAAGATTTCACAAATTTTCTTATTGAGAAGATCCAAGTTTTCATGTGAGCAAAACTGAATATGTAAATTGATATGTAAATTATGCTGCAGATAATATGGTCAAATGTTTACTTGTATATAATTTGTTACACATGAATATTGCATATGTAAGATAATATACTAAGAAATTATCACATTTAATGAAATGCTTTAATCAAATTACTGATTGAACTTTTGATATCAATATCTTTTTCATTGTTTAATCCATCTTTAGGGTGAACAGGGCTTTATAGGCCAAAGTTATCACTTCTATCTAAACTGTCTGAGTTACAGAACTTTTTGAATTTATTATGTTGTCACAGGAAGTTTCTTATTGCTGTTTAAAGGAGTGTCTCTCAGTATGATGCAGAATGCAAACTCACTGAAGGGCATATATCCTGAGTTTCTGTTACTGAAGCCAAAGGTTGCCAATTTCTTGTAGATCCTGCTAGAGTTAAACTTCATTTAAGTAATCATTAAAAGCTGCATTTATTCCCTCACTTGAAATTTTGATTTCACACTATTAGGACTAATCCTCTAAGTCTTTGCTAAGTTATGTTCCTCTTTTTCTTGTAGCTTGACTCTGATGATCTCTATATGCAACATCAATTGACATAAATTAAAGTACATTCAGGGCAAGAGAGTTTCTTTAAATATTACTTTGTTATTCAAAATAATCACAAAAGCACTCATCGTAGGAAAACTTGTGAGGACTCAAATACAGGGAAATACTTTTTCTTTCTAAGGCACAATTCTCTAAAGAAGTTCACCTTAATTTGAATATACATGGGAAAATATCCTTGTTCACTAATAGTCTATATTCACTCTGTTTTCTTCCCTCATAGACTAGCCGGTTCACTATTATTCTCCAAATGATGTGTGCTTCTCTAGAGTCCAGGCTATCTGCATATCTAATTTTTCCCACAAATTACTGTTTTGAATTGCACTGAATTCAATTCAAGGGGATGTCATTTATAAACAGTGCAAATATATACTGCACGAGGGATCTTAGAAATCATACACATGGTTTGATCCATAAGCTCATATGAGCGTGCAATGTCAACTTTTTTCATGTTTTTTTAAATCCACTTAAATTCTATTTTAAGCCATCATCTGTCTGTGCTGTTAGGGCAGTTAGCCTTCAATCATTTTAAGATGCTCCCCTCTAAGTACTGTGATAGTGATAGAGATATCACCAGTCAGGTGTCCTAGGAAGCCGACTCCGAGTTGGAGATTTGCATGCAAGGAGGTTGAAATGATATTCCCAACACCTGTGGAAGAGTGAAAGCAATAGGATTGGGTGGAGCAGGAAGTCGGCTGGAATGCAATCACTATCATGGCCGCAGTCCACTCTACAAGATCTTGGTGAGTTTACCTAAAGACCTCGAATTGGAGCAAGAAAACCAGGCCATTATATTTCTGTACCAAGCAGTTCTCGGATGTGGGATGCCTTGAGAAGGGACATGAACTTGGATGAAGGAACTTTACTGTGCTGTGAGTATTGTTGCCAGGAGTCAGCTGTCAACACTCCCAGGAGACGGGAAATTATGCTTTAGTCACTGAGGCGGCATGTAGTGTCAGACCACAGCCTTGTTAAACAGAGCCAGAATTTGGAGGATGGTTGGTGGGTTTAACATTTGGGGCTTGACATCTTGTCCCCACAAGCTGCTGCTGGCCTCTTCCTTGTCCATTTCTGTGTGACCTGTTAAGGAGCCCCAGCTTCCTGCTTCTTCTTTACCATATTTGGAATGCAAAAATCTACACGTAATTTGGCCCATGGACCCTTCTGCTTAGACATATCCTTGTAGCTATTTTTTTTTTAAAAGATGACTATGCCTTCTAGAATATTTCTAAGAAACTGCCTAAGTCACCACTGCTCACCAAGAGGCCTTTGTTTTTTCCTCTTCTTAACCATGGGAAAGGAATGTAGGAGGGTAGGGAGTGGATATTTTCTAACCTGGAAAAAACTCATTTTACCTTATATGATTTTTGTTAGCAAATTCCTTCTTTGCACTTACTCCACAATCTTTCCAAATTCTCCCAAATGCTCAAGCTTTTAAAAAACAAAAGACAGAAAGCAGGTTATTAGGTTTTCCAACAAACCTTTTCTTTCTATTCCTTTACATCAGTGGGCTTAGAATAACTCTGCTCCTGGAACTGGGAAAGGCACTTGGGAAAAGAAAGAAAAAAAAAAGCTCTCAAAGTTTAACATCACAAAACATTATAGTCACTGCTATTTTATTATTTATTTATTTATTTATTTATTTATTTATTTATTTTTAGATGGAGTCGTTCTCCCACCAGGCTGGAGTGCAGTGGTGCGATCTCGGCTCACTGCAACCTCCGCGTCCTGGGTTCAAGCGATTCTCCTGCTTCAGCCTACTGAGTAGCTGGGACTACAGGCGTGTGTCACCACACCCAGCTAATTTTTGTATTTTTAGTAGAGACGGGGTTTCACCATATTAGCCAGGATGATCTCGATCTCCTGACCTTGTGATCCGCCCGCCTTGGTCTCCCAAAGTGCTGGGATTACAGGCATGAGCCACCGTGAGTGACCTTGCTTTGTAATTTTTACATCATATATCCCCTGTGTTAGACCAAGAGCTTGTAAAAACCAGAAGACATACACCATTTATAGTTCAATTAGAGATGTTCACTGATAAAACTTATTCTTCCATCTGAGGGTGGTATTTGTAGTTACAGTAATGTAGATGACAATCTAAGTTATGTTCTATAAACTGTGTCACTGACATCTCAATCTACAGCTAACTTTAATTTTTTAAAAGCAGAGGAGTGGGTTGTATAGGTTTAGAAATACATTCATCAAGCTAGTTAAGTGAGATAGATTCAAACCTTCAACTCACTGGAATATTTACCAAATTGACTATTCATTAGCTAAAGGAGCCATATAAACAAGGTACTTTTTAAAATTCAAAATTATGTAAGGTTTTGTTTCCTTTTTATGCTGTTATGAATTGGATTGTAGAGGTTATAAGGTAAAATAAGGTTACTTTTACAGTAAAGCATACAACACATTGTCACAAGAGGGCAGCCTTTGAACATGAATTTCTTCTCAGGCATTCCTTGAAATTTTGAGACAGTTACTTTAATTAACACAACTAAATAATAAAACACTACAGAGGATCTAAGAAGATACTTTGACTTATGCATATTGTTACTTTTTTATTACTGCTAGTGGAAGATGTAATCTACAAGGAAGGCAAGGGCTGAATTTGTTTTATGTAAAAAGACAAATTTCTTTGGGTTTTAGCTTTCAAACAAGATAGTAGGTCAATGTCTAAATGAGTGTATCAAAGTTCTCACACTAGCACATGTAAATCCACCTCTTATCTACCCAAAACTCTAACCAAGCAAAGGCAAGTTGGAAGAATCAGACAAATGTAAGTGCCTAGGATACATAAATGCCACTGGATTTTATGTTTTTAACTTTCAACCTCCCAAGTTTCACTAAGAGACATGTTATTTGGAGAGGTTGCTAAAGTGTAGTTGTATGATGTCTCTGTGTATGGTTGGTCTGGACCTCTTTCTGTCCAGTGGTTGCCCTCAATTGATTAGAGTCACCTCTCTAAAGATCATGCTTACGTCCCTGGAGCAGTCCACAGCACTATCAATGTCTGACCTCCACCTTTTTCCAATTAATATTTCTGTACTTACTGAATTGGAAAACATACAGGTGTTTTTTGCCTGGTCACTTGTGGTTTTACAACACTCCCCCCGCTTCCGCACCACTGCCCCAGGTGATTTTGTTGCCAGCCAAAGTGTGAGAACTACTGGCAGCTGCTGGCAGACAGCAGCAAAGGCCCAAATCCTCGGTGTGATTTCAAGACCCCTATCTAGTTTTCAGCCATATTTCCTTCTCCTTCTCACAGCTGAGCCCACTCCTCCTGCCTCACCACCTGTAGGCTATGCTTTCCAGCCTGTGTCCAGGATTAGTCCTGATGTAAGGCACGTGGGGTTTAAGGATCTCTCTCTTCAGTCTTATTTCCGCACCATCGCTGACACATATATTCCAGTTGTAATCATGGGGCTACCTCCTTTTCTTTCCAGTCCCATGCTCATTTTCTCTATCACATTCTACCTTGTAATAACCTAAATCTTCTGGTGGGCAAGCTTCTTCCTCAATCAAATTTGTGTTTATGATTGTGTTGGGGATTGGCTTAGTAATCCAGGTACTGCTGCTGCCTTGAAAGCTGAGACTGCATCCTTCTGTCTGGATATCTTGAGTTTCTGGATTGTAAACCTTATTAGGACCCATTTTTCCTAGAATTGGAGCCTCTACTTTGTTCTTGCTACTTTAGTTCACCCAGAAATCACGATCTCTGCCTGAATTTCAAAGTGTTGGCTAGCTTAAATATCCTTTTGTGAGACTTTCGTCTTCCTGCGGGGTGATTTTTTCATCTTACATACCATTGTTAATCTTTTTATCTTGAATGTAATTGAAATAGTTTTAATCTGTGTTACAAGCAACAAGAACCCCTTTTATGAGATGAAGAGGCCAGGTCAGTCTCATAATATGTGTCCCCCTCCGTGTGTTGAATTTATGTCAGAGCCAGGTTCTTTCCTATTTGACGTCTCTCACCAAATTCCAGTGTTTATGTCCTAGGAGGTGCCCAATAAATTCTAGAGTTGATACAAGCTGCAATTTTAGAGAAATTAAATTAGCAAGTAAAATTAGATTATATACAACCTAATCAACTTTTTTTTTTTTCTGAGGATGACCAAGATTTGGGCTTCAGTGACAATAGTTGTCCCCTAAATATTTATACTCAAAATCTAGGATCACCAGTACAATGTTGAATAGAGGTGATGAACACACACATCCCTTTCTTGTCCTAATCTATGTGGTTTAAACATTTACGCTTTCACCATTAAATATAGTATTGTTTATATGTTTTGTTGTGGATGCTTTCCATCACTTCGAGAAAATTTCTTTATCTAGCTTGCTGAGAGTTTTTTTTTTTTTAAATCAGCAATAGATATTTCTCCAAAGAAAATATCCACATGACCAACAGATACATGAAAAAAATGCTCAGCATCACTAATCAGGGAAATGCAAATCAAAACCACAAAGAGATATTGCCTCAAGCCCTTTAGAATGGTCTTATTAAAAGAAAAAGATAACGAGTGTTAACAATGGGGAGAAATTGGAACACTTCTACAGTGTTTCTGGGAAAGTAAAACTGTGCATCCTCTATGGAAAACAGTACGGTGGTTCCTCAAATAAATTAAGAAAGTAGAACTAGCATATGATCTAGTAGTCTCACTTCAGGTTATTTATCTTAAAGAATGGAGATTGGGATGATTCTCAGGCTCATTGCAGCATTATTTACACTAATTAAAATGTGGGAATAAGGTTAATGTCTATTGGCAGATGAAAAGATAAAGAAAATGTGGTATATTCATACAACGGAATATTATTCAGCTTTAAAACAAGAAAGCCCGTCAATATGCAACATGGATGAACCTAGAGGACATTAATGCTAAGTAAAGTAAATCAGTCACAGAAGGACAAACTGTATGATTCCACTTGTATAAAGTATCTAAGATAGCCAAATTCATTAGAATCACAGATTAGAATGGTGATAGCTCTTTAAGTTGAAGTCAATTTTGCATTCCTAGGTTTTGTAATTTTGGTATCAGGATTCTGACTCATAAAACAAGTTTGGAATTTCCCCCTTCTTTATTTCTGAAATAATTTAAAAATTTTATTTTTTTTAAACGTTTGAAAGAATTCACCAGTGAAATTCTTTAGATCTGGGGTTTGCTTATTTTTTTATTTATTTAATTTTATGTTTTTATGTGCAGGTATTTTACAATTAATTTAATTACTTTAATAAATGTCAATTACTTCCTATGTTCCATTAAATCTTGTGAAATTTTTTATAAGTTTTTTTCAAGGAAGTCACCCTTTCATCCAAGTAATGAAAATTTGTATATAATGTTTCACAATATTCCATTATCTTGTTAATGTCTCTTGTGTCTACAACTGTACAATCTCATTAATCCCTGATATGTATAATTTGCATTTTCTTTCTTTCTCACAGAACTAACTTTTGGCCATGTTGATTTTCTCCTGTTTCTGTTTTCTGTCTCATTGATTTCTAATTTCTGTTTTATTTCCTTTCCTCTACTTGTTTTGGACTTAATTTGCTCTCTTGTTTTAGATTTTCTTTTTAAGGTAGAAATTAGTTCACTTGTTTTGAACTTCTCTTTTCTAGAATAAGCATTTATACAAAAAATTTACTCTGGGTCTGCTTAACTTTATCCCATAGATTTTGATATAGTATATTTTTATTTGTATTCAGTTCAATGTATTTAAAGGTGTTTCTTATGATTTCTTCATTGAGCTAAAGGGCATTTTAAGGTGTATTTAAATCTTCCAATAGTGTAGACTTTCCTGGGTAGCTTGTTTTTACCCATTTCAACTCATTTTCATTATGGTCAGAAAGCATACTTTCCATGATTACAGTGTTTTGAAACTTCTTGAGAGATATTTTGTGGTCTATAGCCTAATGATAAATGTTTCATGTGTAGCATAATAGAACATATATTCTATTGTTTTGGTCAATATCGATTAGGTCAAGCTGTTGTCAAAATTATTTTATCTTAATTTTCTTTAGTTATTCTGTCAGCAATACAGCATTATGTCTTCATAATTACTTGACATTTTGTCATTATGAAATAGCTGTCTGTTGTAATATTGCTCGTTTGGAGGTCTACTTTTTCTTATATTAATATAGCCACATAAGATTTCTTGTCCTTGTTGTTTCCTTGGTATACTTGGAAATTATTTTACTCTCAACTTATCTATACCATAATATTTGGCATGCATCTCTTATAGGTACTTTTATTATCCAGTTTGACAATCTGTGTTTTATTTGGAGTATTTAAATTACATTTGAAATAATTACTGAAAAGGTTGGATTTAAGCCTACTATTTTTTTTTTTTTTTTTTTTTTTGAGACGGAGTCTGGCCCTGTCACCCAGGCTGGAGTGCAGTGGCGGGATCTCGGCTCACTGCAAGCTCTGCCTCCTGGGTTCACGCCATTTTCCTGCCTCAGCATCCGGAGTAGCTGGTACTACAGGTGCCCGCCGCCATGCCCGGCTAATTTTTGTATTTTTAGTAGAGACGGCGTTTCACCGTGTTAGCCAGGATGGTCTCGATCTCCTGACCTCGTGATCCACCCGCCTCGGCCTCCCAAAGTGCTGGGATTACAGGCTGAGCCACTGCGCCCAGCCTATTTTGCTCTTATGTTCTATTTGCTCCATCATTTTTTGCTCCTCTTTCTTTCATGCCTTTTTATATTAACTGAACAATATTCAGCGTTCCATTTTAATTCCTTTATTGGCATTTTAGAAGAATATCTTCATATAATGTGGTGGTTCTCTAGGGATTATAATAAACATCCTGGGCTTATCGCAGTCCACTTAGTGTTAATAGTCAGCGTTTTCATGTAACATAAGGAAAAGTTGCGGCAAAATTGTTGCGTTTAGTCTCCTGTCAGAGCTATTAATTTAGAATATTTTACACACATTATCAATAGTACACTTAATTTTTTATTCAAAGCATCAGTTGTTTGTTATAAAACTAAAAAAATAAGCCTTAGTTTTTCACGTTTATGCACATGCCATTCCTAGAGCTTCTCCTTGCTTCCTGTAGGTCAGAATTTCCGTCTGTTGTTATCTTTCTTTAGCCTAAAAAATTTCCGTTTGCATTTCTTGTATCTTGGTCTGCTAATGACAATTGTTTGAAGCTTTCTTTTATCTGAATAAATCTTTCTTTTCTCAAGAATTACTTTATCTAGTTATAGAATTTGGAGTTGACAGTTTTCTTTTGAAGATGTAGTTTCATTGCTTTTTAAAGTGTCATTTCTGATGACAGGTCATCTGTCTATTTGTTTCCACGGATGTAAATTATTTTCTCCCTCCCTTTAGCTACTTTCAAGATTTACTCTTTTTTTTGCCCAGTGGTTTGACTATGGTATGTCTACATTTGGTTCTCTTTATTTTTATTCTGTTCTTTGAGTTTCTTAAACCTGTAAGTTGATATATGCTGACAATTAGGAAAACTTTTGGTCTTTACTTTTTCAAATAGCTTTTTCTGTCTCATTTACTTCTCTACTCTTTCTAGGACTCCAATTATATTAGTGCTAGACTGGCCCTATTTTTATTATTTTTCTTCGTTTGTATTAACTGTATTGGGAAATTGTTCTTGATCTGTTTTTAAGTGCACTGATAATTTTTTGTGCCATCTTTAATTTACTGGTATGTACATAAAATGACATTTTTATATAAGATACTCTGTCTCTCAGTTCTAAAATTTGTCCTATTATCTCTTTATCATTTTTACTTCTCTGTTGAGATTCTCCATATATTCCCTCTTATGACCATCTATTCCTTAAATCCTTGAATATGCTTATAATAGCTTATTTTAAATTTCTTATATTCTAATTCCAGCGTGTGGGCCATTTCAATGTCTTAATCCATTGTTTACTTTTTTTGTTGTGTGTCATATTTTCCTGGTTCTATGTCTAGGCAGATTAAATTATATGTTAGATTATGTGTATGATATTTTGTAGAGATAGGTTCGTTTATTTTCCTTTGAAGAATGACTCTTTTCTAACATTAGTCTTCTTTCCGTAGTCAAACACCAAACTTTCACTCCTGAGCTATATGCAATGGTTGAAATCTCTGCTCTGTACTAGCAATTTAGCTGTTGTTTTCTGCTGGATTCTATGGAGTCTCCTTTTATGAATGTGAAATGTAGCAGCCATCATATATTTGAATGAAGTTGAAGTGCTGATTTTAGATTTTTACTCTGTGATATTCTCCTCTGTGACTTTCAGTTGTGTGAGATGTCCTCCCATGTCATTCAAATTTCCCAGTTCCTCTTTTCTGTCAGCCTGGAACTCTGTGCTCTTATTCCTCAAGCTAGTAAAACTCACCGCTTTACTCGTAGACATCTAATTTTGCACAGACTGGGAAGCGTCATCAGGTGTGAAGTTGCCTTGATGCAAATTTAAATCATTGCAATTTTCTTTATTCAATGGTCAAATACTTCATCATTAGTGGAGTATTCTACTATTTCTGCCTGTTTTCTGTTTCTCATTACCATCAAATGTGTATTTAATTTTTTTAGAGTTAATAGTTTTTTCCCTGCATTTGGTTTAGACCTGAGCTACTACCATATTTTGTAATTCAAACTTTTTGTCTAACAATGTTTTAGAAAACTCTTTATTTGGAGGGAATTCTCAAACTTCTAAATACTCTACAAACATTAGGATCAGGGCTCACATTCCCAGTTTCCCTTGTAGCCAGATGTACATATGGAACATGGCCTCAGCTAATGAAGCATACCCACATATTTGAAAGTAAGAAAAGTGTTAAGAGGAACTGTAGATATCATTTTAGTTGATGCAAGGATGGAAAAAAATAACCAACTTTCACTGGTGAACTTTGTCTTCAATCATTGTTTTCCCGTGGGTAAGTGGCTAATTTTCTGGCCTAGAGGTGGAATTGGGGTGTTGGTAACAATTGATTTGATGATAACCTGCTTTTGTCTTTTTAAAAATTGCTAATCTACCATTGTTTCTGGTCCTGTTTTATATTTATGCAGTGTATAATGTCTCATGAAAAATTTAGTTCTTTGTTTCTCAGCTTAAACTGGATTTTGATGGGCAGTTTTCACCTTCAAATGAAAGAAATGGCTTTGGTTGATGTTAGACAAAAATAACAAGAAGAAATTAAAGAAATATGTTTGTCCTCTTGTAACATTAAATAAATGAAACTGAAAATTCAATAATTCTGCTTCATAAAAAAATAGAAAGTTTCTACTGGTTTTCATTATTTTTGAAGCTGTATCATTAAATGAAATTTCTGCCTCATGGAAGGTTTTTACAACTATGTAATAATACCATACAGACCATTAGGAGAGAAATGAATAAAGACTGAAAGAAGTAAGCACTGTGTGGTAACATAGATGGCGCACAGTTGTGTGCGTGGAGCCCTAATACATTTGACCATGGAATTTATACAATAAATGTTAGTTTCCTGTGAACCTGCTAATTAATATGACTTTTGCAGACATTTCCTTAACCTAAACAGTTTGGGTTTCCTGTATATAGACTGCATGTATTCTCACCTTTAACCTTTCCATAATCTTCCCTAATTACAGATGTCATTGGTTCTTAACAGCAAAAGAACAGCAGTAGCTTATAAAGTTATATTATTTGTTTTTTACTAATATGTGAAGTGATTTTGTCTTTCATTTCACCTGTAGAGCTAATTATGTCTTCTAGGTTAACAAAAATTCCAGATCATACCATCATTAGTTTAAACTTTACAATGAAATCATTATTTCTATTTATTACTAGCCTGCATTATAGCAATATTTAGCTAATGAATTCTCAAAATATTTCTTGAAAGGTGAAAGAGTACCTCAAGTAAATGGTGCAATTTATTTATTTATCAGAATTTTAAATTAATTGTTCTGTTTAATCTCAAAGGGGTACCAATGAAGTCAGGGCATAAGGAGTCCGTGGTTAATAAAATGGCAAGAATTAAAAAGGATTATTACATTTTTTCCTCATACTATGATGCCTATAATTTTTTAAAACAGTAGAAATGTTTAATTTTTAAAGGCTACTAGTGTCTATTTCATTCAAAGATGTGAGCTCTTCAGTTCAACTTGTTGTTTGAAATTTGAACAGCTTTTTCTTGCTCTTGTTCAATACAGTTATTTAACAGTCCAGGCAGGCCTCTGGAGTTACATATATGTATGTGGCTATGCGTGTATATATACACAGAAGTACAAATAGCATATAAACAATTTACATAAGACTTTTGCTTTTGATGAAAATTCTTCTAAAAGTGAATATAAATTAATAGCATATGGAGCCTACAAAAATTGTCTAATAGGGAACTAGGAAAAGATAATTTGTGAAGAAAGAGTTCGCTAAAACAGACTTTTTATTTTTACATGTAATAACATTATATTGAAGGGTTTCCAGAAGTATAAAATGTTATAGGGCACTTATCCTGAGACACACGAAGGAGACAAGGGATAGAGCTAGGATGGAAGTGAAAATAAAGGACAAATAGAGATAGATACTTAAGTGGAAATGAAACACTGCATGTTCTCACTCATAGGTGGGAATTGAACAATGAGAACACATGCACACAGGAAGGGGAACATCACACACCAGGGCCTGTTGCGGGGTGGGGGGAGGGGGTAGGGATAGCATTAGGAGATATACCTAATGCTAAATGACGAGTTAATGGGTGCAGCACACCAACATGGCACATGTATACATATGTAACTAAACTGCACGTTGTGCACATGTGCCCTAAAACTTAAAGTATAAAAAAACAATCATCAAACAGGTGGTAATTTCAAAACATGGCTTTTTCAGGCAGCAAATTTTCTGAATGTATCGCAAAAGAAGATAAATTGCATGTCTATGTAGATCATGTCAATGAAATAAACAATAAAGTTACTTATTCGAATATTGAAAGTGGTTGATAATAAATAAATTATTTATATTTATGGTAAAAGCAATAAACTTGATTTTTAGGGGGTTCAATGACTTCCTGAAAATATCCTCTCACAGATTTTCTCAGAGTGTCTAGTTGGTAAAAGCGCAGCTCCAAATAGCTATTTCTGTCAACGTCTACAGAACATTTACAGTTTGATTTCCAAAAGTTTCCATTTCTACTGACCTTACAAATTTGTAAAGTGAATGCCCACCAGGACAAAATATTAAGTGATAAAATTAATTGGATCCTACAAGTGAAAATCTAGGCAAGGAAAATCTTCTTCCTTCTTAATGAATGATTTTTATGTCTCTTCATTCTTGTCCTTCTAGGTAAAGCAACACTCTGGAGACCTTCTTTTGAGGCATTTCACCACCAGAGTAAGTGTGATGTATGAGTAATTAGTCCACCCACAGGGAGCTGGTGAAATTAAATGGGAAGTTATTTCCTAACTGGCATATCTTGGAGTAAAATTAATCTAATAACAGCTTTCATAAGAGAACATAAGCTTAAAAGACAACATTTTTCATTCAACTTTACCAAACAAAGTGCAAATTTAGGTGTCCAGTTGTGAAGTTTGGTTGTGTGTGGATTGTACGGTGAAGGTACCAGTGGACAACAGTTCCTCATCAAGCAAGTTTATACAAAAGCTTTTGGACAAGTCCAACTCTAGATAAAATTCGAAAGTATTTCATGCTTGTGTTCAGAGTTTCTTTTTCTCTCTCCAAGGTAACCCACATATCAAAAGACATATGGGTTTTGGGTAGAACTTCCTAAAATTGCTGGTGAGAAGTGTGCCATGCATAAACATACTTCACTAGCTTGAATTTTCTGTTAGTCTCACAGGCAACAATTACAATCCTGTATGTTTTTCTATCTCCAGACACTCCTGAACATAAAAAGACCAAGTAACATCCCTGGTTAAGATGTGTACAGGTTCCAAGACATGTCTAAATATATTCACCAAGAGGTTTATTATTTTCACAGTGGCATTCACTAAATCAGTTGTCAGTGTAGCATTACTCAAGGAATATGCAGGGTCTTTAATTTATCAAAGTTTGGAGTGCACCCCAAGTTGGATCACTGAAGCACATAACTATAGATAAGGTCACTCAGAAGCACAAATCCAGGTAATAAATATCCACTACTAGTTTATATGCATTTAGCAATTTGAATGCTGTGAAGTGTAGCCCAGAAAATCAATCGACATGGAGCTATTAAAGAGGCATTCATGGCACCTGCACTTTGAATCTCTTCAGACTCAGGTTAAACAGGAGACATGGTAGCTCATATATACTGCAAAAACCCTTCCTCTTTCCCTTTTTATCTATGAACCTGCCCTTTTCAATGTTATCTAGATGCCTGAAGGTATGAATACCCTTGATCTTGGTAAAAAATGGTACCACCCATCAGCAAAATCTCACTGATCAGTGTCTATGTTACCTCACTGAGTTAGCCTTTTGTGTTGTTGTGGCCCAGAATGACAATGTTGACACAATCCAAACCAGTAGTTGGAAAGTTAATGTTGGATGCATCTTTGACAATTGATGGAATGACCTGAAATCAAATGTGAGGCAGTGGAAACACAAGAATGCTATTCAGGAAGTTAATGATCTGTGGAGGTACTAAATGAAATATCTGGAAGGAATTGTAATCTTGCAACTATGCTTTTATGTGTTTTTTGACATAAACAGTTTCTATTTATGGTGGAGCTAGAGTTTCCATTTCCCATGAAGTTCCCATAGTGTTAACTAATACAGTCATGTGTCACTTAATGACAGGGGTGTGTCTGAGAAATGCATTGCTGGACAATTTTATTATTGTATGAACATCACAGAGTTTACTTACACAAACCTAGATGCTATAGCTGATTACATACCTAGGTTAGGTGGTATAGCCTATTCCTCCTAGGCTACAAACCTGTGCAGCATATTACTGTACTGAATACTGTAGGCAATTGTAACACAACAGTCAAGTATATCTATACTTACTTATATCTATACAGTAAGTGTATCTATACATGTCTAAACATACAAGAGGTACAGTACAAATACAGTGTTATGATTTTATTGCACCACTGTCATACAAGTGCACTATCCTTGACCAAAATGTTGTTATGTGATGCATGATTGTAACAAAAGAATTAATTAAATATAATATCGAAGTGCCTATTGAGATTTCAATGAAGAAAGGAATATTTGTAAATTCTGATTACCTTAAGTGGGAATTGACTTTCTTCCTGTTTCCATGGCTGTTCTTGTGAAAGAGCATAGCTTTCCAAAGACCTGAAATCTCTGACAAATCTTGTAATTCTCTATAGCCTGCATTATGAAGGTCACCTGGTATCAAAAGGGGCAAAATGGTAGATTATAAAGACCTGTACTTTCTTGTCACTTCCTAAACATAGCAAGCATTGGTCTATCTTGAACATTTCTGCAGTTATAAATGAGCCTTGGGTCATGATTTTCTGCCTTTTTATCATAGACAAGATTTAATTTAGGAGATGTCCTTTTAATGTGTAATGTGAATAGTAAGTGACACTTATGAAACCTATTTTCTTCCAGCCATTTTAATTGTCAAATCTGTCCAGTCAAGATGCAATGTTAGAGGCTTCACTGACAACACCGTCTCTCTCTGTGTGTGTGTGTGTGTGTGTGTGTGTGTGTGTGTGTGTGTGTGTGTATACATACATATGATTGAGCAGGATTTATTGTAAGTCAAAACAGTCTCAAATTTCTTAGGACAATACAGCTTCCTTGGCCATTCCCTTGGAGCTCTGAGTTGAGGAGCTGGTGATGTGTATTTCTTTTGCATGTTCTCCACATTATCCCTATGCAGGCCTTCCATGGGCTTGGTTTTGGAACCAGTGATGAAGAAGATCATTAGAATTGTTGTTCTCAAAAAGATTCCTCCATTCTTCTGTATAAGCAATGGCAATTTTCCCAGACCAATATTTCTTCTTTTGAAATGGTAAATTTTGAATATTAACTGGTTAGTATAATCCCATAAAATAACAAAGTTTGAGCCCTATGATCTGTGTTTTAGGCTCAAGTTGTGTTTTATGCTAAATCATCATTTACTCCTTGTATGATCTTTTTTTTTTTTTGAGACAGAGTCTCACACTGTCACTCAGGCTGGAGTGCAGTGGCACAATTTTGGCTTACAGCAAGCTCCGCCTCCCAGGTGCACACCATCCTTCTGCTTCAGCCTCCTGAGTAGCTGGGACTACAGGTGCCCGCCACCACACCCGGCTAATTGTTTTTTAAGATTAAGGATGAAATAAAAGCTGCTCCCCTATATTACATTCATAAATCAGAATTATTAAAGCAAGCTATTTATTTATTAGAAACACATACTCCAAATTTAGCATCTAAGACATGACAGTCTTTCAAGAGACATCAATTTACTTTTTAGGGACTATAGCTGTATTTGTATTCATGTTATTGGTGTCCATAATATTTCATTAGATGTTCTGGGTAAATTGATAAATGAAAATAATATATGTGATAAGGAGAACAACCTAGGCCTCCTGGAGGGCCCCTTACAACTCAGCTGGTGTTAGCAGAAATGCCTGGGAGTAACAGTGAGAAACAACCTTTCAAAAGTGTTGAGCAATTTTTCAGGCAGAGGACTATATATACCAATCCAGGCAGCAAGATAAGTGGAGGTCAGTTAAAAGATCAGTATGTGATTACATTTTTTTTTTTAGGTTTCTACTGAGAGGAAATATAACACTCAGTTATTATTTTCTCCACATATCTCTGGTTATTTTGTCACAACCTTTTATGTAAGCTACTACCAAACACTGGTTTATCCAAGATCTATGGGTCGTATTCAATATTTGCTTTTCCCTCAACTACTAACACATTTGATTCCGTTTGTAACTTTCTCCCCTATTTCTCCTTTCAACCTGTTTTCTCCAACCACACTGAGTTAATAAGCCTCCTATATACTCTCATACCCTGTTTTATCTAAAGAGATTTCCTTTTTCTACTATTATACCCATCTCATTCCCTAATTTATTTATTCTTATTTCTCACTCTATTTTTATTCTTTTAGGCACAGCTCATGTCTCATGACTTTCAAAAAGTTTTTCTTCTGATATTCCCAGCTCGAATTAGGTACATCCCAATCAGTTTCCTTAGACTTACAACTCTGCATATTATTGGCTTACAATCTGTCTTAGGCTGGGAATTAGCTCCTTGTAGGCAGGGGCTAGAATTTATTTACTCTTATGTCCATAATGCCTGACACAGGAACTATTCTCATATACAAATTGTAGGGTCATAATTCCTGAGAACATATGTACATTGTAGTGACTCATAAAGGCTTGAAATAAATTTTTAAAATGATTAATTGGGAAGTCCATGAACTTGACATCTTGATGTAGAAGAAAAGCAAGGGCAGATTAAGAAGTTATACAGGATACTTGAAATACCAGAAGAATATAATCAGAGAGCAATACATTAATCCTAGATTTTTAGATGTGAAGAAGTTCTGAGAAATATTTGAAGACATGGCTCTAGGGATGAGTACATAACAGAGACCAGTAGCCAGAGTCAGAGCTTTTCAGAGTGAAGAAATTGCATTGCGGGGGGAAGGACTCTTGTATACTAAATAGAAATTGTCATTAAATGGAGACTAAGCAAGAGGCTGATGATCTGTGGATGACAGACGCAGAAAGGTGTGGAGATAGAGGTAAATGCCATAATCTACAAAGAAGATATTTTTGTGCCAGAAAGAAATAATAGGTCTAGAACGTAATAAAAGATAAATAGTTAACTACATTGCAATGTGGTCTGAGAACTCACTGAAGGCATAGCCATTGATATTAACTTCCACTTCGCTTCCAGACAAAAGATTTTAAATATCTTAAAAATTCCATTTGATATTGTATGATTCATCAAGACAGAAAGTAAAGCTGTAGTTGCCCTGGGAGGGCGGGGAATGGGGAGTCACTTTTTAATGGATACAGGATTTCAATTTTACAAGACAAAAAGAATTATGGAGATGGGTGGTGGTGATGCTTGCACAACATTGTGAATACATTTAATGACACTGAATTGTATACTTAACAGTGGTTAAGATGCAAATTGTTGAGTGTGTTTTGCCACAGTTAAAAAATGGAAAACAATAGTATTTGAAGATATAGCCCATTTCATCTGGTAGCTAGCTGTATGTGTCTGCTCAGCTGTGGATAGATATTTATGCTGTTTCTGAACTGGAGGTTACTGGTATTCTCTAAGATATAGGAAAATTGATCTTATGTGGCTAACTGAGGTGGATATAGTTGTATCAGTCAGACAGTAATGATATAATCATGATAGTTTACATTTAACACAACTTACATGTGTTATACTTTAGAAAGCACTTCATTCATATTATTACTTCATACCATTTTCCCCTTACCATATTTGTCTCTCCTTTCTCTGCTGACTTCAGAAAATGTCTCTTCCACACTACTCAATTCATCTCCTTATTTTGTCAAAATTTTAAGTCTCAGAGTCTCCAAAAAAAAATTCCAGACAAGTCTCATCAGCTTTCAGTCATTGATTAATCGATATCCTTAGAGGCTTTCCCTTCCCCTTCTCAATTTAACATAGCTTCCAAATACACTTGCCAATAAAACAAAGTTGTTTATATGGTTTTGTATTTCTTCCTGCTGAATTATGAACATTTTTTCATATTGACATTGATTTCCATCTGGCCATGAAATACTCAAGGTGAAGAAAATGAAACAAAATTGTTAATATTTATCAAGAGCCAGGCACTGTTTTCAGTGTCCTAGAAGCATAAACTAGTGTAACGCTCACCAGATCATATGAGAGGCAAAAATGGATGAAACTATAAAATCAAGACACAGAGAGTTAAGGGAAATTTCCCAAGATCACACAGCCACTGAGGATATGAACTAGATTTTGACTTCAGGCTATTTATCCCAGAACCTGTGCTTTCAACCATCATTTGTACTGCTTCCCTAAATTACTCTTGAGTACACTGTGACATCATATTTCACCTATGACACTGATTATCTGGGGATCTTTGCAACTTATTCTGAATGTGATTCAGTTTTCTTTTCTGTACAGAGATAAAGTCAGTATATACTCCATAGATTTGTTATAAGGATTATATGAAATGACACAAGAGAAGGCTTTAAAAGGACTTGGAAAGAAATAAGCTTTTTTGTTTTCAATCATTTTTCAATAGGTTATCAGTGTTGTGAATGGTTCATGAAAAATGACTTTGGGCTCAGTGAGTAACTGAAATGTTGTTGCTTAATAGTGTGTTTAATATTAATATAATAGTAACAAATGTTGTTATTGTTGAGTAATACTTATTTGGTTTTTCACTGCTTTTCTTTTCTAGTGTTTTAGTCAGAGACTTCTTAAGTCTCCTCAAGTGTGTACACATTTCTTAAATTTGTTGGAAAGTACCAAATTTAAGATATCTTGCATTTTTTTCTTCCTTAGTAAACACTAAATTCCATCACGCAGCAGAAAAGGGGCTCTGTTATTGTTGGTACAATGGCTTAATATTCACTTTTATTCCCTGTATCGTAGTTCTGATATAATTGCTATTTAGAATAAAACTTGTTCCTTATTATATGCATTCGTAATTATAAAATTTGTGTTTTAATGCCTTCTACACATATACTGTGTTTTTCTTTATTTCCTTATATCTCTTACTGTTTCATGATCCTGGTATTTGAAATCTCATTAAGTGTTGTTTGGGGATTTGCTGGGAATGTCATCTACATAGTAATGTCTCAAGTTTGTAGCATCTTTAAAACATAATAGGAGGTGCAATTCACAGCAGAGTAATAACCATCCCACTTTAGGCAATGTATTTGTGATTGGTATGACTTTGTTCCCAGAGGGCAGTTAGCAACACAATATTAAGGCTATGTGTACAAGGAAAACAAATTTTAAAAATCTCCTTTAAAAAAAAACAGTTCCCGATCCTAACCAGTATCATGCACAGAATCCGTTTCCACCTCTTCATATGGAAGCAGCTCTGGGTGGACATCTAGAAAGTTGGATAACTATTTATCACATATGATCTGTAAAGGGAGAGATTTACAAGAAAGTGTTAAATTTAATCCATAGGAAAGCAAAATCAAAAATCAATGAATTTTCCATTTGTAGTTTTCCCTAGGGGCTCCACTCTCTAGATGGCTTAAATGCGTTAGAATTAAATGACTAGGCACAATTGTTTGTTAGTGACATAAAAGCAAGGTAAGCATTTCTGCTTTATGAGTCCAAGCACAGGGACACTTGGTTTTCTTTGGAAGGATATCATAAAGGCAATGTTTATGAGTAATCCCTCATTGTCTTTCCTTCTGTAGCATTCAATGGTATGTACTATAATTTAGAAATGAAAACTACTTAAAGACCACTTGCTAAGTTTCATGTATTTCAAATTCTCAGATCCTGAGTGTTTAAATATGCCTATATTTCTTCATGAAAAAAAACATAATCTTTGCCAAGTTAGAAAAAGAAAGTCATATTCCCATTTTTAACTCAATGTAATCAGAAATTTGGACAGTTTATAGCCTTCAATACATTATGTAATTTAGGTAACAGGCTGAATAAAAGTAAGGAACCTCAGTTAAATTCAGAGAGAAGCTAGTAATTATTTCTAAGACTCAAATGTATAGAACAGATCTCTGATATTAAGGATAAGACCCTCAAGGTGACCCAAAATGTGTAATTGTGGGATTATTTTGGGAGGAATCATCATAGATTCTTACTGCTATAAATACAGTCAAATGTCAGATAAATATACTCCACTGAAATGTTTTCTAGGAATGATGTTGGAACCAATGTTGGTAACTTTGAAAGTCATGGAGAGGATTTCAGATGATAGAAGTCGGGCAACTATCCCAGGTTTAATAAATAAGCAAATGGTGAGTTCCAAAAATGCTGTATCAATGAGCCTCATATTGATCCTGAGCACAATTTCAGGAAGGTCCATTAAATGGGTCTTTGGAGAGCACTTAGGATAAAAGGCTGGCAGCAGGGATTCACTAAGAGCAATGGTGCCAAGCTTGCCTCTTTGACATTGTTATCTGACTGATAAAGGTAGGCTATAGCGGTACACAATACAGATATTTCCAGGGTAAAGCTGTTGAGCTGCTGTAATTTTCCTTGCCTCTTCACTATCTTCTCCTATAGTTGACTCCCAAGGAAAAGATAGTTGACCTTTAATCTAGAAATGTATGTTAATTGGAAAAACAAACAAATGAAACCAAAAACTATCCTTTAGGCTTCTCTCTGCTCAGTTATTAGATCATATGAATGTGCCCTTAGGAAACACAGAAGGCCCACACTATTATAGAGACAAATTTCTTACATTCTCTGCTGTTTAATGCTCTTCAAAAGACTTACCATACTTCGCTAATTTGATTACCAACTACTTGAACACAGGGACCAATGTGCTTATTAAAAATTTTGCATATTATGAGGGCATTAACTTTTAAGTATTCGATTGTTAAGACAATGCATATTATTATAAACCATAGAAGGCACACTTATTACCTCCTTAAGAACCAGTCTCTATTTCTCTGGTTCATAGAACTCCAAGGTCATAAAGGGATTGGACATTTGTGTCTTCAATTGGCCCTCTTCAGCCCTAGGATAAATAGTGATTAATCTAAGCCAATGGTTTTCGTCTCTGTCTGACCCAATGCCTCTACTTCATAAGAAATTCTTCAAAGACCCCTTCACTATTCTAAACTATTAGTGAGAACACAATGTATGCATTCAAGTTGTTGAAAATATTAATGTTATGCTGAAGCTAACAAAGGAGAAATAATTTACTGTCAATATATGATCCAAAATGTATATAATTGTGCCAGAACATTTACATATCAAATAAAATAGAACATAATGATATTTTCATATCTTCGCCCATACCTTGAAACATTGTAAATAAAAAACTACAAATATAGTTTCATTGAATAACCAAATGCCAAAACTGCCATTGCTGTTTTTGACATGATTGATCTGCATTGGTAAATGTAATAGATACTTTCTGTTTGGCCCTTGTCCCCTGTTATACTCCCCTATTTACTGGCTTTTGTCCAAGTGGAATGGTCCATATTGAATATCTCAATCTGTTCCCTTGCTCATTGCCTTCTATGCATGTTCATGAGATTAAAGGGAAGGAGGAAATGGGATTGGGGGTTATTGCCTAAACTCCCTCTCTGCTAGGTCTCCTTGACCAATCTTTTTCATAAGAAAATTAGTGTTTCCTTGCGTGATCAGGGAAGTTTACTCCCCAGAACTCTGCCTGCTGCTACTAACCCAGAGTTATTGTGGGGTGTGATTTCTGTGATTCCTTCACCCTTCTCCCCTGACATTTTCGTAAGTAGTCTCTTTGGAAATAAACCCATGTTAAATTATCTTAGTTTGAGTGTGTTCTGTTTTTCCTATTGAGACTCTGAAATGAGTATCTAAATGAAAAAATCTACCATCTTTTCTCATATACATAGTAGTTTCATTCTTGCAAAATTCATGGCATATTAAAACCATGCAAAAGTACTTGGCACTTAGGCAGTTACATTTGGGATTGTATAATTAAACAAAGCAGGTTATTCACCTTCATTACATTAGAAAGTCATTCAGGACATACAGCAATCCTTAATTAGGAACGGCTATCCCATGTTACTGGACATATGGCATCCCTGTTTTCCAATCCTTAAAGTTTTTCCTTAAAGTTCCAAAATGCCGTCACTTATTATTTCCTGCCATTGGATTTTGTCACATGAAGTTGTAAGGCTGGGAATGCCATAGCCATCTTGAAAACATAGGTAGAAAGATAAGAGAATCACAAAGTGGATCATGTTGAATTAAGTAAGCATTGATACCATCTATTTGTTGTGCGATTTGGTAAAAGTTGCTCCTTGTTTTTTTCTTTAATTAGTTGACTATTCTGTTACTTGAAGCTGAAAACTTTTTTTCTTTTCTTTCCTTCTTTTTTTTTTTTTTGACAGAATCTTACTCAGTTGCCCAGGCTGGAGTGCAGTGGCTTGATCTTGGCTCACTGCAACCTCTGCTTGCCTAGTTCAAGCAATTCTCACACCTCAGCCTCCCTAGTAGCTGGGAATACAGGCACATGCCACCACACTCAGATGATTTTTGTATTTTTAGTAGAGATGGGGTTTCACCCTGTTTGCCAGGCTGGTCTCAAACTCCTGACCTCAAGCGATCTGCCCACCTCAGCCTACCAAAGTGCTGGGATTACAGGTGTAAGCCACTGACCCTGCCCAAAAACACTTTAACCAATAGCAAAGCACATTATTTCATTACATTTTTTCAAAAGTTGCCAGTAATTTCAATTAAAAATATATATAACATGTTTAATGCAATACAAATGCTTTTCAATGTACAATGGGGTTAAGTCTTGATAAGCTGATTATAAATTGAAAATACAGTAAGTTAAAAATGTATTTAATACCTAACTTACTGAATATCACAGCTTAGCCTGGCATACCTTTAATGTGCTCAGAACACTTACATCAGCTGACAATTGGGCAAAATCATTGAATACAAAACCCACTTTATAATAAAGTTTTGGATATTTTATGTAATTTGTTGAATATTGTACTGAAAGTGAAAAGCAGAATGGTTATATTCTATTCAAAGCTATCACTTTTGCTTCATCATAAAGTAAAAAAAATCATAAATTGAACCATTATAATTTGTTGACCATCTGTGTATATGTATGTGTGTGTGTACCTATATAAACATGTATGTTTATATATATATTTGTGTGTGTATATATCCTCGGTGTGTGGGTATGTATGTTTGAGAGTGTGTGTGTGTATGAAATTGTAGGAAAGTAAAATTTCTTATCTTATAGATATAGCATGTTAACATGTTGGTACCTATCTTCCTGAGATGTAAAATTTTACATGGATAGATGTGTACATTTACTGTTGTACACAAAGAGAAACATATTCTGTAGGCTCTTTGTTTTTCTGTAATTTCATTCAACACTATGTGGTTTATATGGATGATTACATATATAATGCTAGGATGAAGGTTCTTCTCTATAACTTTGAAACTTCCTTGATTATCAACCCTTGGTATATTCTTAGAATAGGATTTTATTTTAGAATTAAGATCCTTGTTTCAGGACTCTAGACTGTTAACACACAGAGTCAATAATTATTCAGAATGGTTGGGTTAGTTCACATTCCCACAGATGAGACATCAAATGTCCAGGCTGCACAGCCTCATTAACACTAGATTTTCTGGACATTTTATGTAGTATTTCATCTGATATAAAAAGTAGAATTCTAATTTAATTATGGTTGCTAATTTATTTTTATCTTTTTAGTCATTATGAAAATGTTTAACTATATGAAAAGCTAGGAAAGAGTTTTATTTTTTAAGGTAGTACTTCAGAAATATTTGTGATACTTAATTTTTAAAAATTAACTCTAAAAAATCTTGAAATGTCTGTTTAATGAAATAGGACATAAATACTGGTCACATTAGTGAAAAATATTTGTTTAAAATTAAAATATCTGTATCAATCCTGTAGATATTAATAATTTTTAAAGAATGACATCTTTAAAATATAAATGTTCTAAACTTATAATCAGTTAAATATGTCTCTATTAATACATATAGATACGTATATCTAAATAAATTTGAAGACTTCAAATTCCAGGTACAATATAATTCTTTTCTATCCTGTGATTTGTCATTCAGTATTTTGTAATTTGAACAGAAATATTTTGCCCTAACCACATGTCTGTATTTTCTCTTACCTAGAAATGTTATTTTATGCAAAATTGTTTTAAAGGTCAGTTTGCATGTTTGAAAACATCTTGTAGAATGTTACATAATATATTGCATATTTGGTTACATTGTTTTAACTGTGAAAATATGGTTTAAATCTATGATGCTCTTTAGTGCTGATCATGATGCAAAGCAAATTTATCTGTATAAAAGTCTCCTGTTAATTTTTTTTATTATTATATTTTAAGTTTTAGGGTACATGTGCACAACGTGCAGGTTTGTTAGATATGTATACATGGGCCATGTTGGTGTGCTGTACCCATTAACTCGTCATTTAACATTAGGTATATCTCCTAATGCTATCCTTCCCCCCTCCCCCCACCCCACAACTGTCCCCAGTGTGTGATGTTCCCCTTCCTGCATCCATGTTTTCTCATTGTTCAATTCCCACCTATGAGTGAGAACATGTGGTGTTTGGTTTTTTTCCTTGCAATAGTTTGCTGAGAATGATGGTTTCTAGCTTCATCCATGTCCCTACAAGGGACATGAACTCAACATTTTTTATGGCTGCATGGTATTCCATGTTTTATATGTGCCACGTTTTCTTAATCCAATGTATCATTGTTGGACATTTGTGTTGGCTCCAAGTCTTTGCTATTGTGAATAGTGCCACAATAAACATACATGTGCTTGTGTCTTTATAGCAGCATGATTTTAATCCTTTGGGTATATACCCAGCAATGGGATGGCTGGGTCAAATGGTATTTCTAGTTCTAGATCCCTGAGGAATCACCACACCGAGTTCCACAATGGTTGAACTAGTTTACAGTCCCACCAACAGTGTAAAAGTGTTCCTATTTCTCCACATCCTCTCCAGCACCTGTTGTTTCCTGACTTTTTAATGATGGCCATTCTAACTGGTGTGAGATGGTATCTCATTGTGGTTTTGATATGCATTTCTCTGATGGCCAGTGATGATGAGCATTTTTTCATGTGTCTTTTGGCTGCAAAATGTCTTCTTTTGAGAAGTGTCTGTTCATTTCCTTTGCCCACATTTTGATGGGGTTGTTTGTTTTTTTCTTGTGAATTTGTTTGAGTTCATTGTAGATTCTGGATATAAGCCCTTTGTCAGATAAGGAGGTCGCAAAACTTTTCTCCCATACTGTAGGTGGCCTGTTCACTCTGATGGTGGTTTCTTTTGCTGTGCAGAACCTCCTTAGTTTAATTAGATCCCATTTGTCAATTTTGGCTTTTGTTGCCATTGCTTTTGGTGTTTTAGACATGAAGTCTCTGCCAATGCCTATGTCCTGAATGGTATTGCCTGGTTTTTCTTCTAGGGTTTTTATGGTTTTAGGTCTAACATGTAAGTCTTTAATCCATCGTGAATTAATTTTTGTATAAGGTGTAAGGAAGGGATCCAGTTTCAGCTTTCTACATATGGCTAGCCAGTTTTCCCAGCACCATTTATTAAATAGGGTATCCTTTCCCTAGTTCTTGTTTTTGTCAGGTTTGTCAAAGATCAGATAGTTGTAGATATGTGGCATTATTTCTGAGGGCTCTGTCCTGTTCCATTGGTCTATATCTCTGTTTTGGTACTAGTACTATGCTGTTTTGGTTACTGTAGCCTTGTAGTATAGTTTGAAGTCAGGTAGCATGATGCCTCCACCTTTGTTCTTTTGGCTTAGGATTGACTTGGCAATGTGGGCTCTTTTTGGTTCCATATGAACTTTAAAGTAGTTTTTTTCCAATTCTGTGAAGAAAGTCATTGGTAGCTTGATGGAGATGGAATTGAATCTATAAATTACCTTGGGCAGTATGGCCATTTTCACGATATTGATTCTTCCTACCCATGAACATGGCATGTTCTTCCATTTGTTTGTATCCTTTTTTATTTCATTAAGCAGTTGTTTGTAGTTCTCCTTGAAGAGATCCTTCACTTCCCTTGTAAGTGGTATTCCTAGGTATTTTATTTTCTTTGAAGCAATTGTGAATGGGAGTTCACTCATGATTTGGCTCCCTGTTTGTCTGTTATTGGTGTATAAGAATGCTTGTGATTTTTGCACATTGATTTTGTATCCTGAGACATTGCTGAAGTTGCTTATTAGCTTAAGGAGATTTTGGGCTGAGACGATGGGGTTTTCCACATACACAGTCATGTCATCTGCAAACAGGGACAATTTGACTTCCTCTTTTCCTAATTGAATGCCCTTTATTTCCTTCTCCTTCCTGATTGCCCTGGCCAGAACTTCCAACACTATGTTGAATAGGAGTGGTGAGAGAGGGCATCCCTGTCTTGTGCCAGTTTTCAAAGGGAATGCTTCCAGTTTTTGCCCATTCAGTATGATATTGGCTGTGGGTTTGTCATAGATAGCTCTTATTATTTTGAGATACATCCTATCAATCCCTAATTTATTGAGAGTTTTTAGCATGAAGGTTTGCTGAATTTTGTCAAAGGCCTTTTCTGCATCTATTGAGATAATCATGTGTTTTTTGTCTTTGGTCCTGTTTATACGCTGGATTACATTGACCGATTTTCATATGTTGAACCAGCCTTGCATCCCAGGGATGAAACCCGCTTGATCATGGTGGATAAGCTTTTTGATGTGCTGCTGGATTTGGTTTGCCAGTATTTTATTGAGGATTTTTGCATCAATGTTCATCAAGGATATTGGTTTAAAATTCTCCTTTTTTTGTTTTGTTTCTGCCAGGCTTTGGTATCAGGATGATGCTGGCCTCATAAAATGAGTTAGGGAGGATTCCTTCTTTTTCTATTGATTGGAATAGTTTCAGAAGGAATTGTACCAGTTCCTCCTTGTACCACTGGTAGAATTCGGCTTTGAATCCATCTGGTCCTGGACTTTTTTTGGTTGGTAAGCTATTAATTATTGCCTCAATTTCAGAGAGTGTTATTTGTCTATTCAGAGGTTCAACTTCTTCCTGGTTTAGTCTTGGGAGAGTATATGTGTCAAGGAATTTATCCATTTCTTCTAGATTTTCTAGTTTATTTGTGTAGAGGTGTTAATAGTATTCTCTGATTGTAGTTTGTATTTCTGTGGAGTTGGTGGTGATATCCCCTTTGTCAATTTTTATTGCATCTATTTGATTCTTCTCTCTTTTCTTCTTTATTGGTTTTGCTAGTGGTCTGTCAATTTTGTTGATCTTTTCAAAAAACAGCTTCTGTATTCATTGATTTTTTGAAGGGTTTTTTGTGTCTCTATTTCCTTCAGTTCTGCTCTGATCTTAGTTACTTCTTGCCTTCTGCTAGCTTTTGAATGTGTTTGCTCTTGCTTCTCTAGTTCTTTTTATTGTGATGTTAAGATGTCAATTTTATTTCTTTCCTGCTTTCTCTTGTGGGCATTTAGTGCTGTAAATTTCCCTCTTCACACTGCTTTGAATGTGTCCCAGAGGTTCCGGTATGTTGTGTCTTTGTTCTTGTTGGTTTCAAAGAACATCTTTATTTCTGCCTTCATTTCCTTATGTACCCAGTAGTCATTCAGGAGCAGGTTGTTCAGTTTCCATGTAGTTGAGTGGTTTCGAGTGAGTTTCTTAATCCTGAGTTGTAGTTTGATTGCACTGTGGTCTGAGAGACAGTTTGTTATACTTTCTGTTCTTTTACATTTTCTGAGGAGTGCTTTACTTCCAACTATGTGGTCAATTTTGGAATAGGTGTGGTGTGGTGCTGAAAAGAATACATATTCCATTGATTTGGGATAGAGAGTTCTGTAGATGTCTATTAGGTCTGCTTGGTGCAGAGCTGAGTTCAATTCCTGTATATCCTTGTTAATTTTCTGTCTCGTTGATCTGTCTAATGTTGACAGTGGGGTGTTAAAGTCTCCCATTATTATTTTGTGGGCGTCTAAGTCACTTTGTAGATCACTAAGGACTTGCTTTATGAATCTGGGTGCTTCTGTATTGTGTGCATATATATTTAGGATAGTTAGTTCTTGTTGAATTGATCCCTTTACCATTATGTAATGGCCTTCTTTGTCTCTTTTGATCTTTGGTGGTTTAAAGTCTGTTTTATCAGAGACTAGGATTGCAACCCCTGCCTTTTTTTGTTTTCCATTTGCTTGGTAGATCTTCCTCCATCCCTTTATTTTGAGCCTATGTGTGTCTCTGCAGGTGAGAAGGGTTTCCTGAATACAGCACACTGATGGGTCTTGACTCTTTATCCAATTTGCCAGTCTGTGCCTTTTAATTGGAGCATTTAACCCATTTACATTTAAGCTTAGTATTGTTATGTGTGAATTTGATCCTGTCATTATGATGTTAGCTGGTTATTTTCCTCGTTAGTTGATGCAGTTTCTTCCTAGCCTTGATGGTCTTTACAATTTGACATGTTTTTGCAGTGGCTGGTACCAGTTGTTCCTTTCCATGTTTAGTGCTTCCTTCAGGAGCTCTTTTAGGGCAGGCCTGGTGGTGACAAAATCTCTCAGCATTTGCTTGTCTGTGGAGTATATTATTTCTCCTTCACTTATGAAGCCTAGTTTAGCTGAATATGAAATTCTGGGTTGAAAATTATTTTCTTTAAGAATGTTGAATATTGGCCCCCACTCTCTTCTGGCTTGTAGAGTTTCTGAGGAGAGATCAGCAGATTGTCTGATGGGCTTCCTTTTGTGGGTAACCTGACCTTTCTCTTGGCAGCCTTTAAAATTTTTTCATTCATTTCAACTTTGGTGAATCTGACAATTATGTGTCTTGGAGTTGTTCTTCTCGAGGAGTATCTTTGTGGCATTCTCTGTATTTCCTGAATTTGTATGTTGGCCTGCCTTACTAGATTGGGGAAGTTCTCCTGGATAATATCCTGCAGAGTGTTTTCCAACTTGGTTCCATTCTCCCCGTCACTTTCAGGTACACCAATTAGACATACATTTGGTCTTTTCACATAGTCCCATATTTCTTGGAGGCTTTGTTCATTTCTTCTATTCCTTTTCCTCTAAACTTCTCTTCATGCTTTATTTCATTCATTTCGTTTTCCATCGCTGATACTCTTTCTTCCAGTTGATCACATCGGTTACTGAGGCTTATGCATTTGTCATGTAGTTCTTGTGCCATGGTTTTCAGCTCCATCAGGTCCTTTAAGGACTTCTCTGCATTTGTTATTCTAGTTATCCATTCGTCTAATTTTTTTTCAAAGTTTTTAACTTCTTTGCCACTGGTTCGAACTTCCTCCTTTAGCTCGGAGTACTTTGATCTTCTGAAGCCTTTCTCTCTCAACTCGTCAAAGTCATACTCCGTCCAGCTTTGTTCCATTGCTGGTGAGGAGCTGCATTCCTTTGCAGGAGGAGAGGCACTCTGATTTTTAGAGTTTCCAGGTTTTCTACTCTGTTTTTTCCCATCTTTGTGGTTTTATCTTCCTTTGGTCCTTGATGATGGTGACATACAGATGGGGTTTTGGTGTGGATGTCCTTTCTGTTTGTTAGTTTTCCTTCTAACAGTCAGGGCCCTCAGCTGCAGGTCTGTTGGAGTTTACTGGAGGTCTACTCCAGACACTATTTGCCTGGGTATCAGCAGCGGTGGCTGCAGAACAGTGGATATTGGTGAACTGCAAATGCTGCTGCCTGATCGTTCCTCTGGAAGTTTTGACTCAGAGGGGTACCCGGCCATGTGAGATGTCAGTCTGCCTCTACTGGGGGGTGCCTCCCAGTTAGGCTACTCAGGGGTCAGGAACCCACATGAGGAGGCTGTCTGCCCATTCTCAGATCTCAAGCTGCATGCTGGGAGAACCACTACTCTCTTCAAAGCTGTCAGACAGGGATATTTAAGTCTGCAGAGGGTATTGCTGTCTTTTGTTTGTCTGTGTCCTGCCCCCAGAGGTGGAGCCTACAGAGGCAGGCTGGCCTCCTTGAGCTGTGTTAGGCTCCACCCAGTTCGAACTTCCTGGCTGCTTTGTTTACTTACTCAAGCCTGAGCAATGGCGGGAGCCCCTCCCCCAGCCCCACTGTAACCTTGCAGTTTGATCTCAGACTGCTGTGCTAGCAAACAGTGAGGCTCCGTGGGTGTAGGATCCTCCAAGCCAGGTGCTGGATACAATCTCCTGGTGTGCCATTTGATAAGCCTGTTGGAAAAGCGCAGTATTAGGGTGGGAGTGACCTGATTTTCCAGGTGCCATCTGTCACCCCTTTCTTTGACTAGGAAAGGGAATTCTCTGACCCATTCTGCTTCCCAGGTGAGGTGATGCCTTTCCCTGCTTTGGCTCATGCATGGTGCGCTGCACCCACTGTCCAGCACTCCCCAGTGAGATGAACCTGGTACCTCAGTTGGAAATGCAGATATCACCTGTCTTCTGCATCACTCACGCTGGCAGCTGTAGACTGGAGCTGTTCCTATTCGGCCATGTTGCCTCCATCCTCTAATTTTTAACTTTCAACTGATTAGATACATTTACCCTCTTCTGAATTTTAATTCCTGATGAAAAGATTGTGAAATCTCAAGAGGATAATGAATCAGCTTCTGATTATATTCTGGAATTACGATTTGATCACCCATCCAAGAATGCGTATTCACTTTCCTTTACATTACACACATGCATAATACCATGCTGAGTGATGCTGGAAAAAGTGAGTCTTCAGTAATGCCCTCATGAAATTACAGTCTCACTACACCGAGGTATTTTCTTTTTAACACATTTTTCTTTTCTGCTGTGAATATGTGCCTTCTAAGAGGTGAACAACTGGGAAAAACTGAAAAAGAACCTTCATCTAATTCAGTAACTAGCTTTTGTATCTTCTAAGAATTTTTATCTCCAGAAAGCTCTAATCTTCATTCCTTTACAAGCTTTATTTCTCTCTCCTTTCCAACACCAGACTTTTCTCTGTTTGTTTTCTATAACTTTTTTAGAGATGCCTACAATAGAAAAACACTATGACATATTCAATACATCTGAAAAGTTTGCATTGCCATAGATAAGAATGAATTATCTGTTTATAAAGAAAAAAACAATAAAAATATGAACCAAGAAAGCACAGAAGGTAGTAACCACATTTACATGTTTATCATGGAATCATCTTTATAATCCATCTGTTACAATTCCACAGAGCAAATTACAAGTAATTGTGAAGTTTCCCCTCATTTTATAGGTTTGGTCTTATAAGGCATACAACACAAATTTTAATTACTTTTCTTTTTGGTATTTGGATCTTAATTTGGTGAAGTGGCCACTGGGTAGATGATGGAGCCTCTTGAGACATACAGTCTTCTTCTAGCTTTGTTGATGTAAATATTACTGTGTAGTTTTCATTCACTTATTATTTTACAAGGCATGCTTCATTAAAAACATGTCAGCATCTCATTGACAAATCACAAAATTTAAAAGGCACAAGAAAAAAACAATTTATTTGAAACATTCCTGTGTAAAAGTAGTCACCACTCTTACTATTCTTCAAATATTTTTATTATATTTAAACACAAGCCTAGTTTTATCTTGAGTGTCTCACCTTGATGATATTGTACACTTTAAACTTAGAAAAACTTGAACTCTATTGGAAATTTCCTACAGATCAGCTTTTCTAGATGCCAAGCGCCTTGTTTCAGCTGTGGTGATGACAGCAAATTGGGTTCTCAGGGATTCTGGCCTCTGGCATCATCTCAGTTGTTTATAATTGAAGTTGGCTCTGATGAGAACTCAGCTTAGATGCATGGTTGGACTGCTGGGCTTAAGGCTGGCCTGCCAGCAGGTTGCATTGAGGTGTAACTAGGCAAAGAAAGAAGGAGTTTATTGAGGAACTACTGACAATAGCAAAGACTTGGAACCAACCCAAATGTCCAACAATGATAGACTGGATTAAGAAAATGTGGCACATATACACCATGGAATACTATGCAGCCATAAAAATGATGAGTTCATGTCCTTTGTAGGGACAAGGATGAAGCTGGAAACCATCATTCTCAGCAAACTATCACAAGGACAAAAAAACAAACACCACATGTTCTCACTCATAGGTGGGAATTAAACAATGAGTACACACGGACACAGGAAGGGGAACATCACACACCGGGGCCTGTTGTGGGGTGACGGGCTAGGGGAGGAAAAGCATTAGGGGATATACCTAATGTAAATGACGAGTTAATGGGTGCAACACACCAACATGTCACATGTATACATATGTAATGAACCTGCACGTTGTGCACATGTACCCTAGAACTTAAAGTAGAATAAAAAGAAAAGAAGGAGGTTGGGCAAAATTACCAACAATCTTCAACTATGAATTTTTATGAGTAGGGGCTTCCCACACCATCAGGCACTCCAAGTTGGAGAAACAAGGGATGTTGAATTGAAAGTTTAATTTTTTAGGCTTGATAGTCAGATTAGGGAAGTTTTGGGTACAGCTTTCCCACTCTAGAGTCCTCTCCCTAACTCACGGCCAATTTGGGACATGGGCTCAATGGAAAAGAGTGCCGAGATCAATTAGAAATATCCTTCATGAACATAGGAGGCAGGCATTCTGGCCAAGGGGTGTGTCTTCCCACTTTGTAATCCAGAGTGCGATTTCTTCTTGCTATCTGTCCCTCCGTAAATAAGCGTTGGGTGAAGGACAAGGTAGTTACAACTGAGGATGGAATGAGATTCTAGCAGAATTGCAAAATGAACTGAGAGCCACGAAAGTGTTCCTCTGTGAACCAGCAGAGAGATCTGTGGAAGGCAAAGGAAGTGGAGCCAAGAGGCCAGATAACATTCCTGCTTCCCCTACATTGTGAGAGTGAAATTATCAGCAACGTATATCAGTAACTAACCAGAGGCTTTTTGGAGAGTAAGACTTCTGATACATACCTCAATAGCTGAAGTTGCTCTTCAGTACTGCACATAACCTGTGGACAGATTTTCATCATTATTAATTCATTTATTCAACAGATAGATATTAAATTCAAGGCATAGTTCTAAACTATGCAGTCAATTACAAAAAAATAATGAAGGGCATTAGCTGTGCCTCATAGGACGTTAAAACTCTAGGTGCTGAATGAGACAAATAGGGTTCCCACATCAAGTGCCTGGGCTCCTGTTATAACCTGGACTGTGCTTCCAATGACTTCTCTTGTTTCTGTTTTGGTAAACCCATCATTTGGCTTAGTCCCTATCCTTGCCATGCTCACCCACCAGTAGGTGGACTTCCTTGACCATAACTACAGGTATAGATCTTTGAGTTTCTTTTCAAATGTTTGCTTACTTTAGAGCTGCAGTCAAATGTTGTTTGGACCATAAGACTCTGAGGATGTGTGTGGTTGAAACTGTCTTGAGACTCAAAGAGCTATTGAGGAAGGGATTTGGTAGCTGAACTTTTTTGAAGTTTTTCTCTGTCTCTCACAATCTGGGTCTGAATAGCTTAATATATTGTTTAATTTCTACATCAATGATAGTTTAATAGGCATTCATGAAAATCAGTTCTGCTGGGAGTTTATTATCCTACTCCAATAGCAAGTAATGCATTCCTTAAATTTAATGTATGTATAAATTCTACATGGTAAGTGAAGCTGTCTTTATGAATTGCTGCTATAGAATATACTAGATTGTGTAGGTTTTAGTACAATCCAGGTAATTATCAAGCCTTTGTAATATTTTCAGGAAAGTGATCCTTTCACTTCAGTTTATGGAACTTGGAAAGTTTTCGGTTGTCACCCACTTGTTAGATCATAAACTTAATTATATGTGTCTGAATTTATTTTTCTATTTATAAATTTATCTGGATGTTTTCTCAAAGGTTTCCCAGATTAAAAACCTATGGCTTTGTAAAATTGAAACAGAAGTAATAAGAATTGTGTTAAAAAACAGAATCAGGCCAAGCATGGTGGCTTATGCCTGTAATGCCAACACTTAGGGAGGCCGAGGTGGGAGGATCATTTGAGGTCAGGAGTTCAAGACCAGCCTGGGCAACATGGCAAAACGCCACCTGTATTAAAAAAATACACAAATTAGCTGGCGTGGTGGTGAATGCCTTTATTCCTAGCTACTCAGGAGGCTAAGGCAGGAGAATAGCTTGAACCCAGGAGGCTGAGGTTTCAGTGAGTCAAGATAGAGCCACTGCATTCCAGCCTGGGTGAGAGAGTGAGATCCTGTATTAAAAAAAAAAAAGAACAAAAGAAAAGAAAAATAAAGAAAACTAGAATCATACAATGAGAGAGATTGTATAGCCCTTTTAATTGTCCATAATGGATACATTTCTTTTTCTGTGTAATAGTTTATCAGCATGAAAATTTTCTTTTTCTGCGTAATAGTTTATCAGCATGAAAAACAAAGAGTCACTGAACACTGATAATTTTTTTTCTCTCTCTCTCTCATTTTTTCCTTTTTTTGGAGATGAAGTCTCACTCTGTTGCCCAGGCTGGAGTGCAATGGCAACATCTCTGTTCACTGCAACCTTCACATCCTGGGTTCAGGCGATTTTCCTGCCTCAGCCTCCCAAGTAGCTGGGATTCCAGGTGCATCCCGCCATGCCTGGATAAGTTTTTGTATTTTCAGTAGAGACGGGGTTTCATCATGTTGGCCAGGCTCGTCTCAAACTCCTGACCTCAAATGATCTGCCCGCCTTAGCCTCCCAAATTGCTGGTGATGATTTTCATTTAATGGTGTTCTACAAAGTGAGTTTAGGCAATGAAAGCACACATGTCATCTATAGTTTACCAGAAAGTAGTACCGGTCACTAGCATTGAAGCATACTCCTAACACTGGAAAATTTCTTCAGCAGCTAGAATTAATCTCAAATTTCGAGACTGGAGCAAAGACAAATTTGGTATGTGTTCATTCAGATTAGTAAATCTCCATGGTGTTTGAACTGTATATTATCAAATCTAAAATAAGTCAAAAGAGTTGAACAATATCTCATCTCTGAGAAAAAAATGCATTATTTTCAACAGATTTAAGACTGAATTTAAAATCCAACTGCCTATTCCAGTGTATGTTTCTCTAGAATAAGGCCAAGCCCTACAAATTTTGGATAGTGTCTTCCAAGTTGTATTTAAGTGATAATTGATAAATCTATGGTTTAGATACATATGGAATTCCATATAACTCTAGCTCCAGCCTTTGTGAGTAAAAATTGGCAGTGATCATGGCCTTAATGGGGGCATGTGGTTAATTGGAATTTTCAGTACCAAAAGTCGTCTTCTTACTAGTTTATCAGGGTACCCTATAATAGTATCCATAACTCATTGCCCACTTGTCTGTTTTGATTTCTTTTTTAAAAAGACAATTTTAAACTTAGAGGATTTGTACCTCAAGTCACATATGTGGCACATTTATAAAATAATCATGCCTTTGCATATTTTTCCTTTGATAACTTAGCTATATATCCAAGCCATTTATGTTTTTTAATTGCCACAAATATTGCACTGAAATAGAGCACTAGTTGCAAAAATGCCTGGTGTAACATTTCTTCTTGTTCTTGAAAGTTATTTTAATACCCCATGTTTAAGATATTCCTAGACAACTATATGTAACTATAATTATTTCTGCTAGGTAGAAACATCTTTGTGGTCAACATTTGTGAAGTGCCTTGTAAATAAAAATATGCTTGAGTTGAAATAGTATTTTGCAAATATAGCCCTAAATAGAGCTACTGATTTTTACCAAGAATTAAAGACTCCAAACTCTGTCTTTGTCTTTCAAATTAGGTTTATAGGAACATCTCATTACAATGAGCCAAAAGCCTATCTGATCATTAATGAGATAATTTTGACACTTCCAAATGACACAGTTAATTTGTAGTAGGTTTTTGAAGTGCAAATTGCATGTTTCTGTTTAAATAATGACAGTAAAATATGGACACTATCTATTCACACTCTATATACACAACTACAACTTGTCTCTAGAAGAAAAGTTTAATTTTTCAGGTCTCATCCACAAAATGAAGTGTTAATAAGCTGTATCTTTATTCTCATTTTTAAGTAATTTCTTCTTAACCATTGTATAACACTACCACAGTTTGTATGGAGATAAAATAACTCATGGTGAGAAATCCAGTTCTTTAAAAATCATTTTACCTTCAGTCAATTTTAGGATATCTATGGTTTTAGAGTAAGGACGAAAATTTATAAACATTTGTTAAATTATGCAACTGTTTTTGAAGATGTTTCAAAATTACATTTTCCTTATTTTACAACTAGTTTTCATGTATTCACAAATGAGACACATGAGAATTATTAATGCAAAAGCACAGCATATCAACAAAGTTTATAATGTAAATAGTTTAGTTAGGAAAGAATGTAATGAGTGAATTATCAAAGCTATTTTATTGGTTCCTAGATTTACCATAGAAGAAAATAAAGCAGCCTTATAAAAATTTCTCAACACTGAGTCCATTTAAGGTCTATTTTGTATGCCGTAAGTTCTAAAAAATGTTATTGCCGGTAAAAATAGGATGCCTATCTAAAATTGTCTTTTTAAAGGTTCTCTCTGATTCTTCTTCCTTTCCTATGTGTGCACAGAATACTGTCATCGTCTTGATTGGAACACTGTCTCTCTTTCTCAGAGGGTATACATTTGTAGAAGGGAGAAAATATTTGTTAATTTTGCTTCCTATAAGATAAGGTCTCAATGGTTGAAGGTCAGTTAACAAACATTTTTTTTGTCTTCATACTATTATCTTGGAATTACCAACTGGCTTCTATTTAGATTTTGAATTATGAAAGAAAAGAACTAGCATTTGTTAGAACTTACTGTGTTCCAGGAATTTTATTGATACCATTTCTTCTCATTACCACATTTGTTCTTTCAATTAGTCTTATTTTTTTCCATCTTAATAAGGTGGGACCAGAGGTTTGTAATATCCACTAACCCACTGTGGATTTCATGGCTTGCAAGAGGAAGAAAGCATGGTGGAACTCAGGTTTCTCTGATTGCAAATTCACATACTTTCATGTCTCCATGAAAAATAGAAAGGATAAATTGGGCTCTATTCTAACAAGAGAAACACAATTTTCCGACAGTTAAATGAATAATTCTTAAACCTCAAAAATAAAACGTAGCAAAACCTCAATTCAAGAGTAGACATAAAGGTTGTGGCATGGGTAGAAGGGACTTATGTCTAGTGACATAGATTTGCTATGCATATCTGACCAAAAATCTCCCTCATGATTTTCAAATCAGATGCATAACTGCATTTAATGAGTTTCACGAATCATTAATATCAGGCTCTGAAAACAGGATCATTAAAAATGATTAAGATTTTCAACAACAAAGATTTTATCTAAATAGTAAGGAAATTATATTAGATGGCTCCATTCCCTGGGCAGTCTAGTTAATAATTCAACTTGTTCAAAGCTATAAAATATGGCAACTTAAAAAATTATGAAAGTTTTTCTAACTTATTCTTAAGGTAGTTGGCCATTCTTCCTCTTGGGAATAAGAAGGGCAGATTTTCTGTCGAAGCATTTTGCTATTGCTTTTCAATTTCCATTTATGGAAAATAGATAAAATATCAATTTTTTAGTTTTAAATTTAAAGTCAAAATGGAGATAATTAAGTATCTCCATTAATTAACTAAATATTAATTTTTCAAAAAATAGCATTTACTAAATTCTAATCAATCAATTGACTATTTTTATCCCTGGCTCAATGTAACTCTCTTTGACATACTCTTGTCTTAATTCTAGTTTATGTCAACAATGTGTAATCATAGATGACTCTTTGCCATTTTGATCTCTCAGTTCTATTAACACCTTTGATCTAACGATAATGTTTTCCAACAGAATTATTTCTACTCAAACTTCTGAGATGAAATTTGTTGGTTTAGTCTCACCCCAATCAATTTTTCAACTCTCAGGACACCAAATGGTGTCCTACAATTCAATTCAATCCTGAGACTATCTATCTGGAGATAGCATCAGATCCCACAAGTTCAGGGTTCAGGACCACAAGACTGCCACCCCCCCACCATTAGAGAGGAGTTGTGGGCCTGCCATACTCCTGACCAACTGGCTATAAATTAGCACTTCCATGGATTCCTTCCCCAGGTTCTATAATTTGCTAAGATGGCTCACAGAACCCAAGAAAGCACTTTGCTTACAGTTACTGTCTGATACAAATCAGGAACTGTCAAATAGAAGAGACACATAGGGCCAGGTATGGTGAAAAGGGGCACAAAGCTGCCATATGACCTCTAAGTATATCATTGTATCACCCTCCCAGCACCTCAGAGGTGATGGAGGAGAGGGCTGACAGTTTTAACCATCTAGTTATGCCTTCATGTTTCTGGTGTCAAGCACCCACCCTGAAGCCATACGGGTCTCCAACCACCACTCATGTCATGTCAATAGCATAAACTCAGGTATGGCTAAGAGGGACTTATGACTAGTAAAGGATGGTCCTCTCATCTCTATCAGGAAATTTCAAGTTTTAGGAGCTCTGTACTGTGAACCGGGGAGGAAGACCAAATAAGACATACACTAGACCAGTTGTGCTAACTACTGTGTGCCTCAAAATTGCCTACAGTTGTGTTACAATAAGAGATTGCTGAGACCTGCTATTGGAATTTCATATTTGGAAGATCTGGGGGTGTAACCTGAGAATATGCAGTTCTAGTAAGTTCCCAGGTGATGCTGTTGCTGCTAGCACAGGGACCACACTTCCAGAGGAACTGAGTGAAGCATCGTCGTTACTTATAATAGCAACTCCTCTGTAGTCACAATTTCATTCATCCCATTCTCTGAACTCCTCCTTTAATCATTCCCTTTCATACGCTGACATAAAATTTTTCAATCTCTCTGAGACCTCCAAACTATTATTTTATCATATTTATAATGACCCTTACCTACTGATGTACTCTATTTCCTGTTCTCCTGCCTAAATTCCGTGGCCAACCATTCCCAGGAAACTTCAACTTCCTTGTTTCTCTTTCACTTTGCTGAATCTAACCAGGAAAATAACCCTGGTTAGATCCAAATTTCCACCAAATCCCCACATATATTTGAGCAACTAGCTATATGGATCAAATTGAAAAATATCCCACTTGAAACTGAGAATCTGAGTGCCGCCTATCAATCAATCATACTACATATGTTCCAATCTATTCACTCTCTAATTTTCCTAGTTTTGTATCTTATCCTGTCTCTAATCCCTAACACTTCCCCAGAAATCCTCAATGTCTTTTTGGGTGTGCTTCCCTGAGAACATTGAATCACCCAAAGACAATTTCCACAGACTCCTGAAACCATTTAAACTCACTTTTCCATGCCTACACCCACATACTCTCCATTTTCACCTATTATTATCTGTGAAATAACTGGCCCCTATCTGTATATTGTCTGATGATGATTTCTATATTACAGGTGAAGAAAATGAGAATAGGGTTAGAGCTACTTTCTCATTATAGCATAGCTTAGAATCAAATCCACGCAGTCCACCACTGAAACTGGGGTTCCAAGTCAGTGTATTTGGAGAAGGAGAGCTAGTAGAAAAACAAGGATGAAAAGATCCAGGATGAAGTTTCTGATGGAAGAAAAGGACATTTTTACTATTATGAACTCCTTGAAGTAGACCTTAAGCATTCTCATCTAGACAAACATCCATTCATCCACTCCAGTGAGCTGATTAAGTTTTAGGATTTTAAGGGTCAGTGAACAATTATTACTCATTCAGCAATTAAAGAAGGATTAATATGAATATTATATTGGAGAAGTTTCATTTAAAACATATTTGATTGATTTTTGGCAATTGTCTTCTATCAGATCATTACCAATCCATATGAGTTGGTAGGAAGGGAGAAAACCCAAAACTTAACCAGATGCCTGAAGTTAGGGAATATTTTATAACCAACCCAGGGGGAAAAATGCTCAAAAGGGGAAAGATGAGGACAGAAAACACATTTCAAAGATTTTAACTTTTTGACAAAATGTCAATTCTGTGCAAGAAAAACTAATTGTGTGAATATAACTTTATCATTTACCTCTGCCAATGTGTTCAGAAATATTTAATTTATAAGTTTTATTAATAGTAGTTTGTTAACACAAAATTTATTCATCAAAGTATCTAAAACATTCTAAAAATACTAAAAATTTTCAATTTAAAGATTAAGCTAAACAGCTCTGTATATATAAGTAAGCTCAAACAAACGTGCATGCTCCCCAACAATAACACTGCTACAGATATTGACTGGTGGTTTTGGTTTCATTTCATTTTATAATGGCAAATCTGGTTAAGACCCAGATTCTGGGCTGGGCGCAGTGGCTCACGTCTGTGATCCCAGCACTTTGGGAGGCTGAGGCAGGCAAATCACAAGGTCAACAGATCCGGACCATCCTGGCCAACATGGTGAAACCCCATCTCTACTAAAAAAACATACAAAAATTAGCTGGGTATGGTGGCACGTGCCTGTAGTTCCAGCTACTTGGGAGGCTGAGGCAGGAGAATCGCTTGGACCTGGGAGGCAGAGATTGCAGTGAGCAGAGACTGTGCCACTGTACTCCAGCCTGGTGACAGAGAGAGACTACATCTCAAAACAAAACAAAATCCCAGATTCTGAATTGAATCTCACAATAAGGATCTCAATTGTCTCAAAGAAAATAAAATACCTAGAAATCCAACTTACAAGGGATGTGAAGGACCTCTTCAAGGAGAACTACAAACCACTGCTCAATGAAATAAAAGAAGATACAAACAAATGTAAGAACCTTCCATGCTCATGGAAGAATCAATATTGTAAAAATGGCCATACTGACCAAGGTAATTTATAGATTGAATGCCATCCCCATCAAGCTACCAATGACTTTCTTCACAGAATTGGAAAAAACTACTTTAAAGTTCATATGGAACCAAAAAAGAGCCTGCATTGCCAAGTCAATCCTAAGCCAAAAGAACAAAGCTGGAGGTACGACGCTACCTGACTTCAAACTATACTACAAGGCTACAGTGACAAAAAGAGCATGGTACTTGTACCAAAAGAGAGATAGAGGCCAATGGAATGGAACAGAGCCCTCAGAAATAATGCCGCATATCTACAACTATCTGATCTTTGAGAAACCTGACAAAAACAAGAACTAGGGAAAGGATTCCCTATTTAATAAATGGTTCTGGGAAAACTGGCAAGCCATATGTAGAAAGCTGAAACTGGATCCCTTCCTTACACCTTATACAAAAATTAATTCAAGATGGATTAAAGACTTACATGTTAGACCTAAAATCATAAAAACCATAGAAAAAAACTAGGCAATACCATTCAGGGCATAGGCATGGGCAAGGACTTCATGTCTAAAACACCAAAAGCAATGGCAACAAAAGCCAAAATTGACAAATGGGATCTAATTAAACTAAAGAGCTTCTGCACAGCAAAAGAAACCACCATCAGAGTGAACAGGCAACATACAGAATGGGAGAAAAGTTTCACAACCTACTCATCTGACAAAGGGCTAATATCCAGAATCTACAATGAACTCAAACAAATTTACAAGAAAAAAACAACCCCATCAAAAAGTGGGTGAAGGATATGAACAGACACTTCTAAAAAGAAGACATTTATGCAGCCAAAAAACACATGAAAAAATGCTATCACTGCCCATCAGAGAAAAGCAAATCAAAACCACAATGAGATACCATCTCACACCAGTTAGAATGGCAATCATTAAAAAGTCAGGAAACAACAGGTGCTGGAGAGGATGTGGAGAAATAGGAAAACTTTTACACTGTTGATGGGACTGTGAACTATTTCAACCATTGTGGAAGTCGGTGTGGTGATTCCTCAGGGATCTAGAACTAGAAATACCATTTGACCCAGCCATCCCATTACTGGGTATGTACCCAAAGGATTATAAGTCATGCTGCTCTAAAGACACATGCACACGTATGTTTATTGTGGCACTATTCACAATAGCAAAGACTTGGAACCAACCCAAATGTCCAACGATGATAGACTGGATTAAGAAAATGTGGCACATATACACCATGCAATACTATGAAGCCATAAAAATGATGAGTTTATGTCCTTTGTAGGGACATGGATGAAGCTGGAAACCATCATTCTCAGTAAACTATCGCAAGCATGAAAAGCCAAACACCGCATGTTCTCACTCATAGGTGGGAATTGAACAATGAGAACACATGGACACAGGAAGGGGAACATCACACACTGGGAACTGTTGTGGGGTGGGGGGAGGGGGGAGGGATAGCATTAGGAGATACACCTAATGTAAATGACGAGTTAATGGGTGCAGCACACCAACATGGCACATGTATACATATGTAACGAACCTGCACGTTGTGCACATGTAACCTAAAACTTAAAGTATAATAATAATAATTTAAAAAAGAAATGAAAACACACACACACAAAAAAAAACAAACACACACACAAAAAAAAGAAAAAAATAAGGTTCTCAAAGAGGTCAATATGTATATAATCTATTCTTAAAAAAATTTTCTCCAATTGTTTATTGAAATATCACACAGGCTCTGACTTTGTTTATACCCTTAAGAAGTACGTAGATTTATGTGTAGCTTTTGTAAAGTGAAAACTCAGAATGTCTACTCTGTTCTGGTACCACTTTAGTTTAATTGTTGGAAAATATTTAATAAAAATGAATTACTCAACAAATGGAAAATTTGAACTTTGCATACTAAATTTTTACTTCATATTATCAACTCTTGAAAAATAAGTGTGTCTATTAGAAATGACACTCATTTGACTATACCATAATGTATTTCAGACTTTTTATCTTCAGCTACAGAATTTCTCTGTCCTTTGAATTATGTTAGCGGGCTTTATTTGGCCAGTATTTGTGATCCACCTCCACTAATTCGCAACTCTATTATCTTACCCCCAGGGATGCATTTCCATAGTTCTGCCTTGTTATGAGTGTCATTTTTTTCTTCTGTTTTGTTGACTGCCATTCAAGTAGTTTTGGCTTTATCAGAGATTTTCACTTTATTGTTTATCACCTCCTCATTTTTTTTAGCTTCTCATAATTTACTGTATTATATCTACCTGGGCTTTTGGTTCCTTTACAGGTTTGTTTCATTTTATTTTTAGCTTATGATACTTCTAAAGTCTGTACCCTTTTAATTTTCACTTGCTTCATCGTCACATTCTTGTGTTTTGTTTTTATTTCAAAATACCACAAAGTAGGATGTCTCAGCATCTTGGTGAGTGGAATAGTTTATTTATAATCCAAAAAACCCCCATACTTTTTGTGAGCTATCTGCTTCTGAGTAAAAATTTTATATAAAAATTCTTGAAAAAAAATCTTAAACTTCTGAAGGATTGAATGAGATTTTAAAAATCATTCTATACAACAGGTGCAAAATTTTTATTCCTCTACTCAAGAGAAACAATGAACATTTGTTATTCATTTACTAACATCTAAATGTTAATGTATTCAATTATACATTATTAAAACACGATTAAGCTTAAGAGGTGGAAAAGTATAAAACAAACAAGTGTATAATTTACCTTTATTAATATGAAACATCTTTTTCTCTCCTGAAAATAAAGATTAACCAGTGGTGTGCTGAGGCGGGAGGGGGTGTGTTGGAGGGAGAAAAGCCATGATTTGCCAATTTCAGCACAAAACTGAAAATGGTTATTAATCTTTACTAGCCCCAGATATCTTTTAACATATATTGAAATCTATGACCCTTAAAAAGAAAACATATATATAGATTTTGACAAAACTTTGCAGTTCCACTCATGGATCCCTGTGTAAGAATCGTTTTTCTATGTGTGTTTGCAATTTAAAGAGTTCAGACTTTATGATTCACAGGTGACAACTCATGATTTAATCTGAACACTTAGGCTTTTATAATTTGGGAGTCAGGTGTTTAACTGCTGTAGTAGTAACTGCTTCTTCTCAGAGAAACTTAGTAGCTAAGACCAGGAAAATGTCCCTTGGTGTGCAACACACCTCTTCTTTCTGAACGTACCATATAAGACGCTAACTTTGTCTCAAAGTTTATATGACTTTTGCATTTGCATTACTAGCTATTTTCTTTTGGAACTGTAGGACTTGGAGACCTTTCCCTCTACCCTCTGAAGGTATGATAACTGAGTCTATTGAATAAATGGATAACAGGCATGTCAAAAGAAGAAAATGTGTACACATTTATTACACGCATGGGGGAATCACAGGAAAGAAACGTGGAATCAAAAACAAAACAAAACAAAACAAACAAAACACCACCAAGAAAAAAACCCAGGGAGATTTAGGAGCTTGTAGGGAAGGCAGGAGGAAGAATGTAGGAAACTTAAGGGAGAGCAAATGACTTTTGGGAAAGATGACCAGACCCCTAGGAGCATAGATGATAGTTTGTGGCAGTCTGCCTTGGTGTGGAATGGACTCTTAGTCTTGTCTCCTGTGATATGAGGAGTCAATTTTCCCTGGCTGATGAAACTCCTAGGAAGGAGATGAATGTCTTTGTGCTGACAAGACAGTATCTTGAAGCTTTGTTTTCCAATTCAGTTCTAAATCTGCAGTGTATAAAAATCTCCTCATCATGCTTTGGATGTTATGGTAGATAAATGGTATCTTTACAAAGATACATTCATTCTGGTATTGAAAATTCCTTTTGGAGGATCTCTCTTGAGGAACGTAAAGGGAGTGCAGAGAAAGCATGTCCCACAGTTGTTATTTTTCAAATATTTTCAGTTCAATATAATCAGTACACCAAAGCAATACATTTAGGACTGGCATTTCCTGAACACCTTCAGAACTCTTTTTATCCCATGTTATTTCTATGAGATCACGTGATTTAAGAACAACTTTTACTTGCCACTTACATATATATTGAAAAGGCAAACTTTCCTTTCATAGTTTGCTAATTTTGGCAAAGTACTTTAACAAAAGTTAAATTAAGTAAGTGAAATTTTCTGTTCTATTGTTTTGAAAAGAATTCTAGAAACTGTCCTTGTAAGAACAGCAAAAAGAGAAAAAGATAATTCTCCACTGCAGCTTCAACCACTCTTTGCGTAACAATGTATCTAATTAAAAGGCAAAACTCTCTATTTCAGGTTTATATGTATCAATTGCTTGATTAGAAAGTAAATTATTTACCCCATATAATCTGGTGTCAAAAAACTTATAACAAAATTACTTTGATTTTATTGCTTATAAGTTTGTGAATTTAAATCTCAACTGACAGTGATGAATTTATTTGCTTTGTGCTGACAAGACAGTATGTTGAAGTTTTGTTTTCCAACTCAGTTCTAAATCTGCAGTGTATCAAAATCTCCTCATTATGCTTTGGATGTTATGGTACATAAATGGTATCTTCACAAAGATATATCCATTCTGTTACTGAAAGTGCATACTTAAAATTCTTCATGAACAGTTTTATTGAAAAAATATGTAGACAAGCCATTAATTATACACAGTGATCTGGAATAAATTCTTACAAGAAGCCTAGCATGTCTTCCATTAACTGTATACAATTTATAAAAAGTTATTGAAAGTCTTCCTGAGGTTAAACAATAAATCTTTTAAATTTAATCACTGTGCTTCCTCAAAGGTAGTTTTTTCTTTATGTCACTCAGGGGATACAGTCAGATCTCAGCCTACTTTAAACAACTAGGCAGTATTTTTAGTGCACTTTTCTGTTTGTTAAAAAGCTAGTTGTCAAGAATAAGTTGCTCAATTATCTTCCTCAATTACTTTTTATTTTGTTTTATAATTATTATTCTATTTTGGTTTTCCTTTAGAATTGTGGACTATCTTGAATCAGAAATTGCAGAGAATATATAAATAAGTAAGAATGCACTCTTCAATCAAACTAGATCTCGAAAGTGTTTTGTTGTAGTTTATACCTTGAATTCGAAGGCCATTCTATACAAGACGCTTGAAAAATTTTCAAGCTCTTATATTTCATAATAGTACAGAATTTATTGTTCTTTTATTTGCAAGGAGATAGACCAGATAAAATATCACTTTATTTTTTACAGTGATGACTTTGATATTCTAAACTTGTCAGTTTATACAGATTAATGAAGACTCCATACATGTAAAATTCACTATAATTTTTTTCTAGTATGACAGTCCAAACAAATAGTAACTACATACCCAAACAGGTAAAGTAAAAATATACAATAGCTTGACAAAAAAAAAAAAGAAGAAAAAAGATACCCCTATACATTCCTTAACATTCTAAAACTCTGAGGACCAAATTGGATTCAAAAGAAACATTTCTGGTGGGCAGGGAAAGGGCTAAAAAGCTAAAGTATATAATAAGTAAATTCCTCATTGCTGTAACATATATGACCAGCATGACATTTCAATACATGTTCAAGTTTTCTGAAAAAACTTCTAGGATAATAGGATTTCAACTTTTGATTCTACAGATATCATTCTTGTGATTGGTATGGTAGAATCATCCTCTTCATGTATTAGAGGATTCAAATGAAAAAAAATCAGGCAGCTAGTTCCTTTCCAAGAAGCCTTAGAGATTGTTGTACATAAAAATATGAACCATATTTCTGATTCAAATTTTAATTAGAGAATTCTCTTTATTCCCTCTTCTGCATAAAATTATGCACTTGCTCTCTGCTCTCCAGACAAGTAAAACTTCTTACCTGATATAATTTGAGATAATCAAGACTCAGAACATATTATCTCCTAGCTGAAAGTCCCAATAAACTTCTCAGGACAAAAACAGCAAAAAGGTAAATATGCAGAGATAGAGTATAAAACAGTGGTTACCAGGGGCTGGGGGTGAGAAGAGAAAATGGAGAGAGAGAATTCGAAGGATGCAAAGTTGCAGATATGTAGAATTAACAAATTGAGGGCTCTAATGTACAACATGAGGACTGTAGGTATTAATATTTATTGTATATGGCATTTAACTAAAAGGGTAGTTTGTAGGTACTCTTTCCTCACACTCATATCCAAAAGAAAGGTAACTGAGATTTTCAAAGGGAATGCTTTCAGGTTTTGCCCATTCAGTATGATATTGGCTGCGGGTTTGTCATAAATAGCTCTTAATATTTTGAGATACGTCCCATCAATATCTAATTTATTGAGAGTTTTTAGCATGAAGGTTGTTGAATTTTGTCAAAGGGCTTTTCTGCATCTATTGAGATAATCGTGGTTTTTGACGTTGGTTCTGTTTATATGATGGATTACGTTTACTGATTTGCGTATGTTGTACCAGCCTTGCATCCCAGGGATGAAACCCATTTGATCATGGTGGATAAGCTTTTTGATTTGCTGCTGGATTCGGCTTGCTAGTATTTTATTGAGGATTTTTGCACTCCACTCCACTCCATTCTATTCCATTCCATTCCATTCCATCTCATTTCATTCCATTCCCTTCCACTCTACTCCACTCCATTCCACTCTACTCCAGTCCACTACACTCCATTCCATTTCATTCCAATCCATTCTATTACATTATTTTATTTCTTCAGGAACTCACTCCGTCACCCAGGCTGTAGTGAAGTGGCACAATCTCAGCCCACATTTCATTTCACCGTGCCATTCCATTCCATTCCATTCCATTCCATTCCATTCCATTCCACTCCACTCCACTCCACTCCACTCCACTCCACTCCACACCACTCCACTCCGCTCCACTCCACTTTACTCCACTCCACTGCATTCCTTTCCATTACATCCCATTCCATTCCTCTTTATTCCACTCTACTCCACTACACTCCACTCCACTCTACCCCACTCCATTCCATTCCACTCTAATCCGTTCCATTCCTTTCTTTCGATAGAATCTCACTTGTCACCCAGGATGGAGTGCAGTGGCACAATCTCAGCTCACATTTCATTTCACCATTCTATTCCCTTCTATTCCATTCCATTCCATTCCATTCCACTACACTCCTCTCCACTCCATTCCATTCTATTTCAATCCACTCAACTCCACTCCACTCCATTCCATCACATCCCATTGCATTCCACTCCATTCCACTCCACTCCACTCCACTCCACTCCATTCCATTCCACTCCATCCCATCCCATTCCATTACATTACATTCCACTCCACTCCACTCCACTCCACTGAATTCTACTCCATTCCATTCCACATCATTCCATTCTATTCCTAATTCTATTCCATGGCATTCCATTCCATTCCATCCTTTCCAATTACACTACATTCCACTCCATTCCTCTCCTCTCCATTCCATTCCATTCCATTCCATTCCAATTCCATTCCATTCCATTCCATTCCACTCCACTCCATTCCACTCCACTCCATACCATTCCATCCCATTGAATTCCAATCCACTCCACTCCACACCACTCCTCTCCATTCCATTCCGTTCCACTCCACCCCATTCCATTCCACTCTGTTCCACTAGACTCCACTCAAATCCAGTCCCCTCCACTCCACTCCACTCCACCCCACTCCATCCCATTCCATTCCCCTCCATTCAATTCCATTCCTTTCTTTTGACAGGATCTCAATCTGTCACCCAGGCTGGAGTGGAGTGGCACTATCTCAGCTCACATTCAATTTCACCATTCCATTCCATTCCATTCCATTCCATTCCATTCCATACCATTCCATTCAATTCCATTCTAACCCACTCCAGTCCACTCCACTACACTCCATGCCATTCCCTTCCATCCCATTCCATTCCACTCCATTCCACCCTAATCCACTGAAATTCACTCCATCCCACTCCACTACATGCCATTCGATTCCATCCTATTCCATTCCACTCTGTTCCACTTGACTCCACTCCACTCCACTCCAATCCACTCCACTCCATTCCATTCCACCATATTCCATTCCATTCCTTTCCTTTGACGGGCTCTCACTGTGTCAAAAAAAGGCTGGAACACAGTGGCACAATCTCAGCTCACATTTTATTTCACCATTCCATTCCATTCCATTCCACTCCATTCCACTCCACTCCATTCCCCTCAACTCCACTCCACTCCCCTCCATTCCATTCCATTCCATTCCATTCCATTCCACTCCACTTCATTCCACTGCAATCCAGTCAAATCCACTCCATTCCAATTCACTCCACTCCACTCCACTCCATTCCAGTCCATCCCATTGCATTTTACCTCATTTCTCTCCACTCCACTCCACTCCACTCCATTCCATTCCACTCCTTCCCATTCCCTTCCACTCCATTAAGCTCCATTCCTCTCCACTCCACTCCAATCCATTCCATTCCAGTATAATTTATTCTCTTACATTCCACTAATTTCTTTCAACAGGATCTCACTCTGTCACACAGGCTGGAGTGCAGTGGCACTATCTCAGCTCACATTTAATTTCACAATTCCATTCGATTGCATTCCATTGCATTCCACTCCATTGTATTCCATTCCATTCCATTCAATTCCATTCCATCCCATTTCATTGCACTCCTGTGAACTCCACTCCACTCCACTCCATTCCATTCCATCCCATTCCATTCCACTCCATTCCATTCCAACCCACTCCACTGCACTCGACTCCACTCCATTCCATTCCATTGCACTACTGTGAACTCCACTCACCTCTACTCCACTGCACTCCAATCAATCCATTCCATTCCATTCCATTCCATTCCACTCCTTTCCATTCCATTCCTTTCCTTTGACAGGATCTCACTCTGTCACCCAGGCTGGAGTGCAGTGGCACAATCTCAGCTCATATTTCATTTCATCATTCCATTCTATACCATTCCATTCCTATCCATTCCATTCTATTCCATTACACTCCAATCCACTCTACTCCACTCCACTCCATTCCATTCCACTCTACTCCACTACTCTCCACCCCACTCCACTCCACTCCATCCCATTCCATCCAATTCCATTCCATTCCACTCCTCGTCCCTCCACTCAACTCCATTCCCCTCCACTTCATACCATTTGATTCCATCCCATTCCATTCCATTCCACTCCACTCCACTCCACTCTGCTCCACTCCACTGCACTCCATTTCATTCCACTCTATTCAATTCCATTCGACAGGATCTCATTCTGTCACACAGTCTGGAGTGCAGTGGGAGTATCTCAGCTCACATTTCATTTCACTATTCCATTCCATTCCCCTACACCCTTCTCCACTGCACTCCACTCCACTCCATTCCACTACATTACATTACACTCTATTTCACTCCATTCCAATACACTCCACAACATTCCATTCCATTCCATTCCATTCAATTCCATTCCATTCCACTCCATTCCATTCCATTCCACTCCACTCCACTCCAATCCACTCCACTACACTCCTTCCATTCAAATCCATCCCATTCCATTCCACTCCATTCCACTCCACATCACTCCACACCTCTACACTCCACTCCATTCCATTCCATTCGTTTCTTTCGACAGGATC